>NT_113891.3:4200000-4500000 GCF_000001405.40 Homo sapiens | reverse complement strand
GGGTCTGAGGATTTCATAATGATCTCGATTTGAAGACTTTCTGCTATTCTCATGACTTCCTTCCATCGTTGAATCCCTGGATTGAAATCATATTAATTTTATGTTGCATAGGTTTCTCACAAGTTTCCTGTGAAGCCAAAAGGGAAAATAAGACAAAGGGTCCTTATTTACTATATACTGCCTTCCTTAGCTTATTATGTGACAGCTGAAATTACTACACAAAAACAAGTCAGCAGCATTTTCCTTTATAGTTTTTGAGGAAATGAGGCTGATCAGGGATAAAGATGTTTTAAAAAGAAAAAATGATTGTGTCCTATTCCCTAGGTTAAGATTATGAGAAACATGATTGGTTGTCCTTGTGTGTGGCTTCTCTTTCCTGACTCCCTGACTTAGTCCAGCCTCTCTGCAGACTCCAGCTGTATTTACTTATATCTGTGCCAGTGACGCCCAAGTCTGTACCTTCAGCCCCACCTCTCCTGGAATTGGAGGAAGCCAGTCCCCAGATGGAGGATATTATTTGCAAGGGGAGATGGGCAAGAGGAGCACAGTAGCTTTCGGGAATTGACCAGGGACAGGCGCCCAGGGACACACAAGGCCCAGAAGATACTTGTAAGAAGCCAGGGAGACTTAAGGCATCAACTGGATGTATCAGAGAGCTGCTGTGCACTGATTATGTGTATCAGGAGTAAAGAATCCATCCTTTACACAAAAAAAGCTTACAACAAACATGTCCTCTACCTTGACCGAAAGGTGTCAATATGAGACGCAAAACACATAACAATGTTGGATTGTTAAAAAAAAAAAAAGACCAGTGTTTGAAAAAGAGTGCTACACGTATTGCTTTGCTCTTTCCCCAGTGGGGAGTCATCTCTGTCTGTATGAAAATTAAGACAGGAGGCCTAGGCTGGTGGACGAATGCAGACTTAGACGACAAATGACGTCTACTGGATGCATTCAAAAGTCCAAGCCGTATTTGGTTAAGTAGTATTTGTGATGGCACACAAAGAAAATGGTTAAAGTGTATTAGATTATATTTATGATTTTAAATTCTGATGTTCATTTAACTTCTTAATGGTAATGATAAAACATGCTCTCAGTAAGATATATGTTGAATTAGTGCTGTGGGAATACGGGTCCTATCAGGCAGATTTGCAGTCTGCTCACCATTGAATAGTTAAGAATAGCGGTCTGAGACATAAATGGATGAGGGCACTAAACTTGATTTGGGGGCAGCTCACTGAAATACAGTCAATTCAGAAGAGTGTCATGTATAACAGGCCACATTATACAATAGTTAACATATCTCCACTTTCATGCTTCTCTTCTTTCCTACGTGTAAACCAAAATGAACTTCTTTATTAACTCCTACTGTTTACTAAAACCCTCAGAGAAAAGTAATGAGAGACGATTTGATGCATATTTTTAAAGGAAAACAAACACTTATGTTGGGTTTTGATTATTTGTGGTGCTAAGAAGAAGGGAACATGGTTGGAGGCCCAGTGAGAGAAACAGTGCTTTGAATCAAAGAGCAGAACGATAGAAACTGACTTCAGAGCAACTTCTTGGCAGCAGTATCCTCTTGGGAAGCTGAGGGTCTGTCCTGGAACCAGGTGCTAACAAAACACAGCAAATGCTTGTTCTAAGGCACATTAGTCTTTTCGGTGAGGTCAGGAACCCTGTGGGGGTAAAGGACAAGTTATCCCAGGTTGCTGGCCTCCTTCCTTTAAGTCCAGGAGAGAAAAATTATGGTGAGAGGCTGCATCTTAGGCTGATAAAGAACAGAACTGATCTCTGCTTCCTTCAGCAATGGAGCCGTGCAATGCTTTTTCCCCACTCACCCGAGAGCCGAGGTTGAAAGAGGGGTTCATGCCTGAGATTCCCTTCCTGGAGGAGCCTCAGTATTACAATGCACAGAAAAGAGTCATATCCTCCTGTAACCCACCCCCCAAGGAAATCAAAGCAGGAATATTACCTGTTTATGCAGATCCTCGTTGAACTGAAATGAAAGAGGAAAGGTTATGTATTCAGCCATTGAAACCACCTCAGATAGTTAGAGAAACATTTCCATCCCACCAAATTCCATTGACCACCACTCAATGGATGCCCCGCAGGAGTCTGAGCACCTGGGACCTCATGCATCTGGCTGCATTAAGATCCCAGCCTGGGATCCCCCTCTCGCCATAGGTCATGTTTGTTCCCCGACTATCTGATTTCAGTGGTCTCTAGAGCTTTCTGACATTTCTTTTCTGTCTGAACCCTCATCATGGAGTAAGTGTGAATATGCCAGGGGAAGGTAAGTCCCGCTCACCTTGCAGGCTTTCTCACCTTTCTTGCTCCTCCTGTGCATGAAGATGCCCACTCCACAGATGATGAGCCCCAGCACGAAGCCCCCAGCTCCCGTCAATGTCTTACTCCGGGCAGAATCAGACTGTGCCTCTGGGAAGGACAGACCCAGGTTTAGTGTCACCTCCACCAGCTGCATCCCTACTCATGTCCTGTCTGAGATTCTGGAGCGTGATGCAGAATATCGGGATGAAGACAGTGCAGGGGAAAAAGCTTGCTAAGAGGAAATTCAGAAAGAGCCACCCTCATGTCCGGAACAGGGGTGTGACCTCAACAAGGTGGCAAATGCTGATTCTAGAAGTTGCCTCTCAAAATGCCTGAGAAGAGGCTAAAATGCTGAAAGAAGAGAACTGTTCCTATGTGTGAGGTCAGTTCCTGTGTGTGAGGGTTTCGAGATCAGCCAGTGTCCCTAGATTCTCTGACAAGGGGGAGAACTATGAATCTTCAGGAACCCCTAAGCCAAGGTCAGGAAGTCTCCATTGCCCTGGCTTCAAACTATGCTCAGGAGCTGGTATAGAAGAAAGATGGGGTTTGGACATGGCCCCAGGGTATAGATGCAGAAGATAAGATGAGTGGACCCCAGAGCCAGAGAGTCCCCTGCTCTTCAGAGGTGGGGTCTAGACGGTCATCAGAGACTCACTCCACTCCACGGTGACAGGACTGTCCAGGCTGGTGTGCTCCACTTGGCAGATGTAGACGTCTCCCTGCTGGGGGGTCATTTCCAGCATCACCAGGATCTGGAAGGTCCAGTCTCCATTACGGATCAGGTTGGTGGACACGACCCCAGCTGTTTCCTCCTGTCCATTCAGGAACCATCGGACTTGAATGCTGCCTGGGTAGAAATCTGTCACGTGGCAGACAAGCAGGTTGTGGTGCTGCAGGGGCCCCTTCTTGGAGGGGGAAACGTTCACCTTAGGCTGGACTACGAGTGGGGAAGGAAAATAATGAAATAGCATTTGAGATTGTCCTTCCTTCCTTCCTTTTTTGAGACGTAATCTCGCTCTTTCTTTCTTTTTGTTGAGGTGGAGTGTCGCTCTGTTGCCAAGTCTGGAATGCAGTGGCGCAATATTGGCTCACTGCAACCTCCACCTCAGGGGTTCAAGCAATTCTCCTTCCTCAGCCTCCCGAATAGCTGGGATTATAGGTGCCTGCCACCTCACCTGGCTAATTTTTGTATTATCAGTAGAGACAAGGTTTCTCCATGTTGGTCAGGCTGGTTCTCTAGGAGCACTTGACCAACTCCTGACCTCAAGTGATCCACCCGCTCAGCCTCTCAAAGTGCTGGGATTACAGGCCTGAGCCACTGCATCTGCCCAGATTATTATTTCTTAGGCATGTTCACTACGTAATTGATTCCTAGATGTTGAAAATAGATATAATGTGATTAGGCTAGTGGGTAAGGGTAGCACTGAAAAGATAGACCTTCAAGTAGAGCATGCATGATCTTGAATAAAATAATAATTAGTAAGTATATAGCGGAATGGCAGGGAGACAGAGTTTGCACTCTGTAGCACATATAGGAGAAATTTTAACCAAAAGTAATTTGGGCAAAGAATATTTAATCAACTGTGAAATTACCTGTCTTTTCAAAGTTCTATCTTGATACAAAGGATGCAAAAATTACTCAAATAATATCTTGAAATTAAGATATACAGACAATGGCATTATGGTGGCCTGTTAATCTAATACCTTTATTTCATGAAAATACAAAGAAAATGAAGAGAGCTTGACATGTCTTATTCTGTAAATAACCTAGGTATTTTTTTTACCTCACTTACAAAAACTCAAAATCTTCATATTTACATAATATCCTGAGCCCCTACATGCTTGAGTAGTAGAAATCCCATCCTTTTCCAAAAGGATGTGTCTTCAGGTCCCATGAAGGTCTCACAGATAACCAGATGTTGCCTCCCTCTGCATCTTTGCATTTGTGCCCCAGCTTGTTCTGTTGTTCTCAGGTCAATTTCCACACTGCCACTGGCAACTTTTCTTTTGGATCTCTGCCACCAGTACCTTTTTCCTTCTCGGAAGGCAGAAAAGGCCAGGCATGGTGGTCATGCCTATAATCTTAGCACTTTGGGAGGCTGAGGCGTGAGGATCACTTGAGCCCAGGGTTTCGAGACCAGCCTGGGCAACATAGTGAGAACCCATCTCTAAAAAGAAAAATAAATTAGCCAGACATGGTGGTACATGTATCTGTAGTTCTAGCTACATGGGAGGCTGAGGCAGGAGGATCACTTGAGCCCAGGAGGTTGAGGCTGCAGTGAGTCATGATGGCGCCACAGCACTCCAGCCTGGGAGACAGAGCGAGAACCTGTCTCAAAAACAAACACAAACACAAAACAAAAAACAAACACAGAAAAGGGTCAAGTGCTCCTAGAGAACAGTTCATTCAGGGAGATCCACTAGAGAACAGCTCTTTCAGAGGACTACCCTAGAGAACAGTTCATCAAGAGGAATGTCTCAAATTAGTCTTCTAGGTCCCTAATCACTCAGTTCTTTCCTTTCTACTTCCTGGAGAACACAAATACCCCAACATGGCGCTGGGCCAGGTAAAAGTACAGTCTTGAACTGACACACAACCCTTACTCCCTATTGTATTTTTGCCTTGTTTACAGACTGATCCACATTGTCAGCCTCTTCCCTCAATGTGAGTTTATTTCAGGGGCACCTGTGTCTCACTACTTCATTACCTCGGTTAACTCAACGTCCATTACACTATTCAACTTATGTCTAAATCTCAGTTGTGAATTACGTACAATTTCTTCCCCATAGAGCTTCTGGGAACCATGAAATCAGGGGGAATACTTGGGTATCTGTTTTAAGGTCCCAGAACATTCCATGAGAGGCATCTTGCTCAATATTCTTTGACAGGAGCAGGTCAGCCTGGAGCCACATCAGCGACCTCCAGGGGGCGCTGGAGTTAAGGCTTGATACCCAATGGCCTCATTTCTGACCCAGTTCAAATACATTTCACCAAGGCAAGGATTCCTGTTTGTTCTAGTTGCCTTCTCTAATGCCCAGAAAACATTTGCTCAATTACTTCTAGATTTGGGTGAGCATACACCCTGGAATTGTCACTACTCCTTTCCTCCCCCTTCCACCTCTCCCCTGCCTCTGTCTTTTCCCTGTTCTAACTCATTTCTTGATTGCAATTTCCCTGACAAATAATAGCAGTTTCCTACCTCATTTCCCTGCCTCTGGTCCCTCCTCTACCCAGCACCCTTAGTAGTCTTCTGAAGACACATCTCCAACCTTCGCTTTTTCATTTTTCAAAAATCTTCAGTGTTCTGACAATACTTATCCGGCTACATGGGAACCTCTAGGGAGCTGATTACAAGCAGAGATCCCCCGACCTCCCTACCCAGGGAATCTGAGTCTCGGGGCAGTGAGTCTGGGTATCTGCGCATCACAGATGATCTCCAGGAGAGTCTTCGGAGAAGTGAGGTTGGGGACCTGTGGGCCTAGAGGAGAAACTCACACTCCTTAGGCTGGTATCAAGGCTCCCTGCAATCTGGCAGTTGATTACTGTGAAAGAAGATGCTGCCGTGTCACTGATTTGTGCCTCTACAAAGTCTTAGTAACAGTTTTTGCCAATTGCATTACTTTTATTTGAACACCTCTCTCAACCAATTACCTCAGCAACTTTCCTAAGCTCATGTCACTCACCTCATCCCCACCCAGTGTGTCCACCTTCTCACTCATAGCAGGTGAACTTCCTTTCACTTTCCAGGAACAAGAAAATCAAAGGTGTGATCTCCCCAGCTTCCTCCTCCTCCTCCCTTCATTTTTTTCCTCTTTCTAGAAAAAAGGTCCAGGGCTCAATCCCACATCCTGATACTACTCCCTCAAGTCCCTCAGGTTGGTGCACCAGGCTCCCCACCCCACAAGTTCACAGGAGGAAGCCAAAGCTCCAAGGCCTTCCTGTCCCATCCTTGAGAAATCCTCTTACTGCACACACCTCACCTCTCTCCATCCCTTTACACCCAGACTTCCTGAAGGAAAAAGACGAATGAACTGAGACACTGCCCTGTGACAGCCGTGGGGAACCCAAGACAAGTAAAATCCATCTCAGCCCCGAGGAGGATGCGCCACACTCAGCCTCATGCACCCCCTCCCATTCCAGCTCCTGCCGCTGCGGCCAACCTGCTCTCCCCAGGTCTCCCTGGTTTCCAAACCCACTTTCCATCTTCTGTTTTCTGACCTTCCCAAGTCACTGGCACCGCTGTCCACTGTGCTGCTGAGGTCACCTCCCCTCAGCTTCCAAGACTCTTCTCTGCGGGCCTCTCCTCACACTGCACTTGGGTTTTTTTGGTCTCTTTCACAGGCTTTTCTGTCTTGGCCAAATCACAACTGTCCAGTTCCCAGGATCCAGTCCTTTGCTCTTCCCCCTGGGTCCCCTCTCCCTGGATGGTCTCATGTATCTCAGTCTCCTCCCCGGCTGCAGACCCTTCTGTCTACCTGCCCATCAGACCACCCATCTGCCCCTCAAGCACCTCAAACCCAGCTACCTCCCTGTAGGTTTCTTCTCTGTGTGGCCTGCTGTGCCATCTCCACCTCCATCTCCACACCATACCCTTGTGCGCTGTCCTGTGGCTTCCTTTTTTCACCCCACATGCAGTCAGCTGCCAGGCCTGATGAAGTCCCGGGGGTCTCTCTGCTCTCGTCCTCCTCACTCCATGCTCAGCCCAGTCCAGGTCCCCGCGCTCGCTCCCCTGACAAGCTCCAGATGGGCTCCCCCCATGAATCCCCAACCCAAAGTCCCCTTTCCGCCCGGCACTAAGGTCCCTTAGGCCAACCCGGCTGCTCCTGCGCCCTGGGCACGGGCCCGCGGGGCTGCCCTGGGACCGCCGGCCCAAAGCCCTCACTCACCTCGGCGCTGCAGGGTCACGGCCTCGTCCAGCTCGTAGTTGTGTCTGCATACCCTGTCCGGCACTGCCCGCTTCTCCTCCAGGAGGTCCTTCTGGCTGTTCCAGTAGTCCTCATCAGGCCGCCCCAGCTCCGTCACCGCCCGGAACTCCCCCACGTCGCTGTCGAAGCGCACGAACTCCTCCCGGTTGTAGATGTATCTCTCCAGGAAGCGCTGTGTCCCATTAAACGCGTAGCATTCCTGCCGTAACTGGTACACGTAATTCTCTGCGGGGAGGGGGCGGACATGAGCGGAGGCGCCACTCTCATCTAATCCTCTTTCTCCCTCTCTCTCTTAATATTAACGATTCTTCCCAAATCTTCCCACCCAGGGCTGGATTTTAAAATAGGAGTTTTCCTAGTACCGAGTTCTGTGGTCCTAAGCGGGTCGCAGAGCCTCTCCAGGCCTGTTTTCTCACCACGCAGAGAGAGAATTTACTGAAAAGAATGAGCTCAGGGGCACTGAGTGATCACTAGGGAGGGGCGAGCACTGAGGGGAAGGCAGTCCCTTCTGCTGGTGGCTGGAGGAGGCGGAGACGTTTCACGTGGGGTCACTGGGAGAAAAAACAGGGGCAGGAGGAGCTGGGGACGTGGAGGGCGGAGCTGCTCCCCCTACTTAACTCCCTGACTGACATTTCCATCCTGATGTCAGTCCTGGTTCAAATGCCACCTCCTCCAGGAAGCCCTCCCTTCCTTCTTTCTCTTTTCCATAGCTAAGCGCTCTCTCTTCTCGACCAGTTTCTTGAGAATTCCTCAACTTGCTCCTGTTGTTTTGCATGTAGGAGATGTAGAAATATATTTCTTAAAACTTTCTTCAACTTTGGTATAAGAAAGACTCTGTAGCCTGAAAGTTAATTTTCAAACATGGCTGCAGAAAGACTTGGTGTCAAAAGATGTGGAAAGTATTTTACACAATGAAAATCACCACAACAACCAGGGACCTGTGGGGGTAGAGTCCTTTGGGTTTAGAGGCATTGATGTAATTTTTTTTGGCAGTTTTTATGGTTTTATTTACACACAAAACGTGGACATGAACTTTCTACTCATTTTCTTAGCTGTGCACCGTGGTACTGGGGTTGGTGACTCTGATGGCCGGCTGGGTGACTCTTTCCATGATGACTTTGCAGTTCTGGAGGAAATTTTGTGAGCGATCTCAGCACAGTAAGATTTGTTGCACATCAGCAGCACTTTCAGCTCCTTGAGGCTGTGGGCCAGAAACTTCTGGAAGCCACTGGGCAGCATGTGTTTTTTGTTGTTGTTGTTGCTCCCATAAGCAATGTTGGGCATCAAGATCTGGCCCTTGGACCTTCTACGAACCCTACTGTTAAGACCTCTGGGTTTCCGCCAGTTATGCTTAATTTTGACATTTCAGTCTGATTGGTGCCTCATGAACTTGTTGGTCCTCTTTTTGAGGATCTTATCCTTCATGAGGAGTCTGAGGGAGGCCATGATGTGGAGGAAGAGATGGCTGCCAGCTGCATAGGCAGCACCGAGGAAGACAGCATTGATGTAATTTTTACATGAACAATTTTGGCAGCCTTTCCCACATGCTGTTCTTCCTAGGGAGTGCCATGAGCAGTGTCTGGCAGGTGTGTGTCTACACAGAATTATCAGTGACACGGCACATGTTTGTTTCTGTTTGAGTGTCTTCAGGCCTGCTCTGTTCTTGGGCACACTGGGGAAATTAAGGTGCTGTGATTGTTCTGCTCATCTGTTTCATGCTCCACAAATTAACTTCTCCAGTTTATTAACCTCACCCCTTGCAGAAGTTGCACAGCTGGTGGCAGAGGATAGTGGAGATGGGGTAGGGCTGGGCTCAAGGGCACCATGGAGTCCACCTTTAGTCTCCAGTGTCATTGCTAAGGCAAGATCCCAGGTCTTGACTCAGATATCCTGACCTGCCTCTTCTCCTGGTGCCTTGGGCGCCAGACCCTGAAATTCCAGGCCCAGGGCCCCCCAGCTCCTTGAGTCCAGATTCCTCCTCCTCTGCCATCCATCCGCCCCTGCCTGTTCAATTGCCCCACTCTGAGTGTGGATTCTCCCATTTTCATTTGTTAGTCTTTGTTTCTCCTCCTCAATCACCAGTAAGAGAACGTTTTTCATTCAAGAATAAGAATTTTGAATTTTTTCTTTGCAACATTTAATTTTTTTAATTTACCCAGTCTTAGGTAATTTTTTAAGTACATTTAACTTTTGAAATGGAATTTTACCTGCCAAGTAGACATAAGCAATGAGGGGTTTTATGGTGTAATTTGAAACCTTCATTTTTTTTGTATATAAGAAACTTTATCCTGTTTGTGGAACCCTTAGCAATTGAGTTGCCCAGAGCACGGTTTGAAACCACTGATCTGAATGAATTCGTCTCTTATTCAGAATAGGATATATTAAAAACCTCTAGCTCCCTATGGGTTGTCTCAGCCAAGCTTTTCTCCCCCAGCCTCTTTAAGCTATAGCCTGGCTCCTCAGCCCTTTGGTCTTGTGCCCTGTTTGAGGTTGGGGATGTGTGTGGAGTTGGGGGAGCATGCAGGGAATTGTGGAATCAGCCCTGCCCACTTTACCCACTCCCCTATGGCTCCAGCTCTCCCTCCAGCAGGTTTTGATTGAACATTCATTCTACGCAGGGAGCTCCAGTAATCTACCCTCAGTCCCTGTCACATGGCTCCACTGCCTCATCTCATTCCCCCTACAAACCTCAACCCAGCCTTTGCCCGTCCTCCCTTTCACTGCCCAGCATCACATGCCCCCTTCTGCTCTCTGCTCCCCCACCTCTGGGTTTCCTTGGTGGCTCCCAACACTGTCCCTCATCCCACATGACAGCTCTGCCTATGGGATGGGGGCGCTGCATCCGTCACTTCCTCCTGACACTGTTCAGTGTCACCAGTGCTGCTCCAGCCTCCTCTCTCCCCAGCCTCACCCCTCTGCAGTTCCCAGGGCTGAGCCGTCCTGCTGGTTAGTTCTCAGCACCCTTCTGTGACTACAAGTTCAAGTTCTCCTCCCCTTCCTGGACAATGAACCCAAGGTAATAGATAAGAGGTTTTAGGGCTTGAGGGGCTGTATTCAGGAGATTCCAACCTTGCTACCCTGAAAGATGAGGAGGTGACATGATGTCAGTACCTTCTAGGTGTGTCCTAGGAGGGGTGTGGAGAGGTCTAGGAGGAAGGGTGTAAGCAGGAAAAGTGGAAGTCAGTGGAAAACTAAGGTACCTACTTTGCAGTCCTTCCTCTCAGAGTGTTGGTGTAAATTTGGACTAGAAATGTCCTGAGAGTACAATGGTTGAACTAGTTTACAGTCCCACCAACAGAGTAAAAGTGTTCCTATTTCTCCACATCCTCTCCAGCACCTGTTGTTTCCTGACTTTTTAATGATCGCCATTTTAACTGGTGTGAGATGGTATCTCAAGACAGTGTGGCAATTCCTCAAAGATCTAGAACTAGAAATACCATTTGACCCAGCCATCCCATTACTGGATATATACCCAAAGGATTATAAATCATGCTGCTATAAAGACACATGCACACATATGTTTATTGCGGCACTATTCACAATAGCAAAGACTTGGAACCAACCCAACTGTCCATCAGTGATAGACTGGATTAAGAAAATGCACACATATACACCATGGAATACTGTGCAGCCATAAAAAAGGATGAGTTCATGTCCTTTGTAGGGACATGGAGGAAGCTGGAAATCATCATTCACAGCAAACTATTGCAAGGACAAAAAACCAAAGACCACATGTTCTCACTCATAGGTGGGAACTGAACAATGAGAACACATGGACACAGGAAGGGGAACATCATACACCGGGGCCTGTTGTGGGGTGGGGGGAGGGGGGAGGGATAGCATTAGGAAATATACCTAATGTAAATGACGAGTTAATGGGTGCAGCACACCAACATGGCACATGTATACATATGTAACAAACCTGCACGTTGTGCACATGTACCCTAGAACTTAAAGTATATATATATATAAAAAGAAATATCCTGAGAGTATCCTGAGAGAAAAACAATGGATCATAGATGCCATAATATTACACCAGCCACAGGGAGGCAGCAGGAAGAAGAGATTTTTCACTTGGTTACTGCTTCCTTGGCTGTCTGATAACCTACACTCAATCCCTGTCATGCACCCACACAACCTCATCTCATTCTTCCTACAAGTCGCAACCCACTCTAGTACCCTAACCAAGTTCTGGGGAGGCTGGGAGAAGTACCTTTAATGAGAATGCCTTCAGGGGCTAAAACCTATCCCCCTCCCTCCCTTCTCTCCTTAATTGTCCAAGGGATGTGGGCTCCTGCTCCACCCTGGGGAATAAGAGGCATTCTTCGTGAGCACTGAATCCTCAGTGATCCTCAGAGCCTGGACACTCCAGCTTAGGGCTCTCTGCCTGAGTCCCCTCCAGGCTGGATGCAGACATGAACACGCCCAGGAGCCTGCACTTGCCAACTTCTCTCTCTGCAAACCTTGTCTGTCCAAGGTTATCCAGGACCTCTTGGTCCCATTTTCCCCAAAGACACTGACCACTGGGCACCTCTCTCTGTTTACTGTACCCATGTCCTTGGAGAGAGAATAGGCCAGTAGGGTAGCAAGCTATCCTATAGGGGATGAACCTCTTTCTCTAGCTGGGAAGAGAGGACACTGCCTTAGGGCAGGAGCCCCCGCAGCCTGTCTCAGAATTTGATCCCTTAAAGATAACGTCCCCTAGGAATTGTTCCCTGAGCCAGACCCTCCAAGAATGGCAGTTCGGCTCTTACCTGGAGTGGCCCTGCCCTGGACCACAGATGTGAGCAGCACCATCAGTAACGCCGTCAGAGCCACTGTCCGGGGGGCCGCAGAAACCTGCAGAACCATCATGGAGCTGGAAAAGGATGGCAAAATGAAAAGAGCTGCAGTCAGGAAAAGAAGGACTCGCTAAAGGGAGCTCCTGTTTGAAATATTAGAGACCATGAACCCAAGTAGTCTTCTGTGACCCTGGGATTGGACAGAGTCTGAGAAAAGAACCAATGGACACTGAGCTTTGTATGAGTCATTGCTCACTAGGCAGAAAGTTAGTATGAAAGGTCTGAAAATATAAAGCCTGTGATGCACTTAAGATGACGGAGGAAAGACAGTGATACTCATTTTAACCAGTCAGATAAGTCATGATGTTTGGGGAGATTATGCGTTTTCTTTGCTCTGAAGGTGATCTCAAATATTCTGCTGGCCCATCTACAGGGATTATCATTTCCCCAATTCTGCCACACCTCACACACCCACAGGACATGGTCTGTTGTGGAAAAAGTGCTATCTTAGTGTGTAAAAGGTCATTCAGTGGCATGACTTAGAGGGATTAGAGTACCCATCTCAGAACTCAAATGAGGTCTGAGTCTGTCTGTCTTGCCTTTGTCCAAGGGTGTGTTTAAGATTAGCACCCATTCATATTTACTTTCTCCCAGAGGTCTGTGAGTCCTGCGATGTGCAGGAGTTACCAGGTTCTTCCACAGGACTGTCATCAGGGTCAGGAGGGCTCAGTCTAGGGACCTTACACTGGGAGCGTGGACACACCACCTACCCTACCATGTAAATATGCAGCTTTAACGACACTGCCTCTCTTGGACTTCGATTCCTTGTCTTCAATATGGGGATGATATAACCTGCCTTATAGCAAAGCTCTTAAGATCAAATGAGATCAATAGGTCTGAAATTGCTTTGGAAAAATAAAGTCCATAGAGAATATAAATTGACTGGTAAATAAGGAAGAAAGTGAAAAAAAATCATCAAAGACCCCACCTCCTTCAAAGCATCTGATTCTATTTTGTTTAGAGTGAATATTTTTACAAACTTTCAAAGAACATTACTTCTTACTTTAGACACTTATAAATGTGATCCTGTTGGACCACCAATTCTAATTTCAAAAAAAATCAAATTGGCATCATTTCTTTAAATCAATATTAAAATGTAAATAGAAGGCTAGCATGTAAAATGCAAGAGAAGAAAATAATTATGTAGTAGAAGGTGTCTAGTAGGATTAAGGGGCCAGGAGAGGATTGTGGAGAAAAACTCAGTTTTTTTAGTAACTGCCTGGGTGGGACTTTTCTCCTTGTCATTTACCTGCCATAGATAATTAGACAAATACTTCCTCGATGTCTCAGGTAATTTATTTTTACAGTAGACATTAATAATACCTCCCTCAGGTTTAATATGAGGTTTAAATGAGGTAATGCATGCAAAGCACTAATAACAGAATCTCTCATGTCCTAATCTGTTAGTAATTATTATTTATGCAAGGTAAGGCTACCACAAATAAGATAAAATATTAACGTAATATATGTACTTCATCATTACATTAAATAGTAAATGTTTTGTGACCTTCTCTATGAGTATCAAATAAATAGCTCAAAATTGAAATATTTAAAATGAGACTAGAAAAGTATTTCTTAAATATGGTAAAGAGAATATAAAATAAAAAATTAACATTACCTGTAACAGAAAAACATTAGAGAAACCCTTCTTAAAAACAAGATCAAAATATGGGCGCACATTGTTACCACAGGTAATGCTGTCCTGGGTATTCTTATATGAAAATGAAATAACAAGACTAGTAATTTAAAGATAAAAATGTTATTACACTGTTTAAATACCAGGAAAAATCAAATACTAAGAAATCTGAAAAATAAAAATTATCTAGAAATTTCACTAACAAAGGTAACCAGGAATAGATAAACAATTAAAGATCAACTTCATTCAAGTTAATTAAAACCTCTAAATAGAAATTATAACACTTCTGCAGAAATGATTAAATAAAAAGGAGGTATCTCAGGGAGGTGGACCTGAAAGAAAGATTAATTATATATTTTATTAGATAGCACATTCATTCTTAATTATCAGCAGAATATTTTTGTAAAATATTGACAACATAACATAAAACATGATTTAAAATATAGTGACCAAAAAACATCAAAGATCATCTGACTGTCTGGGATGGGGGTGGGGCTCGGGAGAAGGAACATAATGGAAAACATTTGCCGTCAGAAGAAGGTGTAACTTATCTTTTTACATCTCTTTCTCTAACTCTGAAAATGAACTGTGAACTGGAGCTCTCTTGACCACGCTGGTACCTAAAATTCTCCCATCTCTTCCCCAGCACCTTCCAGCGTCCTCTTTACCCAGCAACAGAGAATGTCAGCTCTATGATTTCTCTGATAGGTGAATCCCAGCCATGCTGATTCCTCTCCACCCATTTCCAGTGCTAGAGGCCCACAGTTTCAGTCTCATCTGCCTCCACTCGGCCTCAGTTCCTCATCACTGTTCCTGTGCTCACAGTCATCAATTATAGACCCCACAACATGCGCCCTGAAGACAGAATGTTCCATATCAGAGCTGTGATCTTGAGAGCCCTCTCCTTGGCTTTCCTGCTGAGTCTCCGAGGAGCTGGGGCCATCAAGGGTGAGTGCTCAGGAGGACGCAGGAGCGTCGGGGTGAGTGATGGGGTGGTTCACATCAATTGCTGCTTCAGGGATCACAGATTTTAGGGGCTCATTGATCTATCTGGTCCTCATAGTCTATGTTCCCTCTGGCCCTCATAATAATAACAGCAATAACAGCCAGAATTTATGAGACTCCTGCATATTTTCTTTCCCCATTTACATCTCACAGGAATCTTCAATGAAGATAATATTCCATTCATTTAGAAATTATTCCTTTTATTTAGAAATTATTTTGAAAAAACTGAAGCTCAAAAAGATGAATAAGTTTTCCAAGGTTACACAGCAGATCAACGAGCCAAGTTTGAAGTCCAGACCCAGCTCTGAGGGTCATACACTGCCTTCCCCAGATTCCTGCACACAGTGACCTACTATCAGGGCCCTCCTATCTCTCTGGGATCCCCAGCCTCTATCTTTTGTGGCTGCTTTACAGGAACTCCGAGCTATGGACTCTGCATTAGGAGACGAAGTGCAAAGAGTGTTTCTGTATCCTCCCTCTCTTCTAGGACCCTAGGGCTCTTCCTGGGTCTTTGTGGGTGGTCACAAGCTTTCCTCTCTCAAGACAGCAGGGTTGCATGGTCTTGATAGCCTTGTGATTCGGGTTCTGAGAGATTCAGGACTGCAAGGGAGGCCTAGACTTTTGATAGCTGCAAGGACTCAGCCAGAGATGGACCGTAGTGAATGCTCCTTTTTCCTGTAGCTGAAATCAGGGAGAATGACATCAAGCCTGTGCATGATGCTGTCATTCCAAAATCTAGTGATGGGGAAGGTTAGAATCCATAACGTACAAGATGCACACTGGCTTCAGACAGTTTTATTTAAGATGTGTAGAATAAAGAGGAGGTCAGGCTGGGTAGAACCAGAAGTATCTATTGCCCTGTTCGCGGTCACCTGAGTTATTTCTAATGTTATGTTATAATAAACACCACAATAGGCTTCTCTTCATAGATGCAAATACTTTTTAGTATTCTTGGTAGAAATTCCTAATGAGCTCAGCTGTCTCTTCAGGGCTTCCCTGCCCAGTCTCTTAACATTTAAACATGTCATTTACCTTAAAAACATAAGTGCAAACCAACTGATAAAAAACAACCTTGCCTTCAGTCTGCATCCTGTCCCAGAGACACTTTCTTTGTGTCCTCACACGTGGAGCTAAGCTTCTGACTTGTCTCTGGTACATCCCTGAGGATCCTCTCATCTTGGCCATCAGGAACCTCTACAGAAGGTCAAATTCAGTGGGTTCTTCTCAGTGCCTCTGACTTGAGTTACTAATAACATTTGCACTATAATCCACTTCTTTCTGATGAACTACCCTGTCCTTATTTTTCTCCTGTTTACCTGGATCCTCCTTATCATCTTTTAAACCACCTCTTAACTATCATGTTCTCTCATTATACCCTGAGATCTCGGCAATTCTGATTTTTGGCACTCTTCCTGGAAAATCTTATTTAACCTGCACCTGCCACTAATGACTCTCAGTTCTATGGCCTAAATTCCTCTCCTGAGACCACCCATAATCCACAAATATCTATGTATTATTTCTCCTTAGATGACTTTCAGGTCTTCTAAGTGCAATAGCCCCACAGTAAACTCAGTATCTTCTCCCGGTCAGGCTGTCTTCCCTGAGAGAAGTGGCTTTTGCCCTGTTTTCTGAATGCCTACATTGAAGCCATCTGTTCCCCAGGAAGCCTTCCCTGATGTGCTGTTTGGTCGCATCTTGTGTATACCTACGTATCTGCACTTATCCTTCTGAACCTGCTGTTGTCCTGTCACTTGTGTTTCCTTCTGTGACTTATACGCGTCTGCAGAACAGGACGTATGTATTATTTTTATTTGGGTATTTAGCATCTAACAGTGTTTGACATATAGTAGTCTTTTAATACATATTTTTGTCTGAATGGAAATGATATTTTGAAGAAAAATAATCTGTTCCATAGCTGGCTGATCTTTGGACTGCAGAACTTGTGAAAGTGTTTTTTAAAAAGCATTTTAAAAAGTACAAGGGACATTCATGTATTAAGAAGATGAGTTTCCAATAACTGCTAGAGGACTTTGTGTCTTTTTATTTTACCCTCTTTTTCCTGATGAGTCCTTTGAGTCCTTTAAACTGAGGAGCAAGCTAAGTTTCCTAGTGAAATACCTATAGGATTTGTTTTGTTTAGTTTCAAATACCACTCTTTGCTTGGCCACTTACTGTGTCAGGGAGTCATTCTCAGTGAAAAATAAGACACAGGTCATACCCTCTAGACACTTACAATTACAGTGGCAAGGAGTCATTCTCCTGTCACTGTAAGTGGCCAAGCACAGACTGGGTCCCCACATGTCAGGGCTGAAAACTCACAGGGAAATCTGTGAGTTGGGAGGTGAGAGCAGAAGAGTCCCGTAGTTCCTTCTCACTCTGATGCATTTATCATTCTAAACCCAGACTTTCACATACACATTCATCGTTTTCTTTCATGATAATAGTTGCTTTTATCCTCTTATCTTTGCTAATTCTTACAAACTAATAAAGACTAAGAAACAAAATAAATTAAATCCTACAGGTGTTCCAAACTCAGCAATAATTTCTAGTTGGCCTCTAAAACAAAAATCAAAATATAAATGTAAGAAAAGTTTAGAATGCTTAGTACCTGTGTGATGAAATAATCTGTACACTAAACCCCCAAGTCATGAGTTTACCTATACAACAAACCTGCACATGTACTCCTGAACATAAAATAAATGTTGAAATATTTTTAAAAAGGAAACAAAAGTTTGGAACAAATGCCAAAATAACTGTACTGTACTTTTGAATTTATATGCCCCAAATGAAAAATATTATCAACAAAGCTATACATTCTACAGTTTCATGTTCATAAACTAAGACAGAAACTTTAAAACTGTCAAGAGCCCTAAAATTTGAAGGATATTTTCTTCTTCCTCTCAATTTTGTATTTTTTTCTACCTTTTCTATAATAAGAAAAAGAAAATGTCCATTCCCCCACCCCCATGACTCTAAAAACAATTTTACATCTGTGTCATAGAAAAATTAAGATCTTAATGGGAGAGAAAACCTCTCTACTAGTTCCGCCAGTAGCCGTATGACCTTAGCAAGTTATTAATATGTAACTTCCCTGCATTTCCTTACCTGTAAAATGTATGATATGTATTTGCTTCATAGGGTTATTGTGACAATTCAGCGAGTGAAATATGTAAAGTATTTAGAAGGATGCCTGGCACAAGTAAGTGCTCAACAAATGTTAGCTGTCATTGTTACTATTACTATTGTGTAGGGTCAGGATGCCCAGACTTTCAAAGACCAGGAAGCAGCTTGACTTATCAGTGATAAACTTTTCATTTTGTTCTTTGCTCCTTTCTTTTTATAACTGCTCATCTGCTCTGTATTATTTCCTTTATGGTGTTGCTCCTTCTTCTTCCCCATATGTCCTTCCTTTGACCTCTTACCTTCTTCCTTTTTATATTCATAAGTCTTTATTCATTCTCTAGCTTTGACCACTTGCATATTCAAACTGACATTTTGTCGTGTTTTTCTCTACTGTCTTTATGCAGCGGACCATGTGTCAACTTATGCCGCGTTTGTACAGACGCATAGACCAACAGGGGAGTTTATGTTTGAATTTGATGAAGATGAGATGTTCTATGTGGATCTGGACAAGAAGGAGACCGTCTGGCATCTGGAGGAGTTTGGCCAAGCCTTTTCCTTTGAGGCTCAGGGCGGGCTGGCTAACATTGCTATATTGAACAACAACTTGAATACCTTGATCCAGCGTTCCAACCACACTCAGGCCACCAACGGTACGCCCTATCTTTGCCTCTTCCTCTGTAGCCCAACTGGAAGGGATGAGAGGGCCTCTCTGCCACCCTCAGACTAGGAAGCCTAAGTGCCCCCTGCTGTGTGATCCTCTTCCCCTAGTGGCCATGGGCTGATCCCACTACAGCAAGGGCTTGCATCCTCTCTTCTCAGGAGAGAGAAAGGTGAGCAGAGTGAGGCTGGTCAGTGGTGTGATACCCCTCTCTGTGATTCAGAGCTGCCATAAAATCTAAGGCTGAGGTAGAGGACCACCCTCCCCTAAGAGGTGGAGCCTTTGTGATTCATCCCAGAAGAGGGGCCTAACCTGGTGCTGTCTCCTTCCAGATCCCCCTGAGGTGACCGTGTTTCCCAAGGAGCCTGTGGAGCTGGGCCAGCCCAACACCCTCATCTGCCACATTGACAAGTTCTTCCCACCAGTGCTCAACGTCACGTGGCTGTGCAACGGGGAGCTGGTCACTGAGGGTGTCGCTGAGAGCCTCTTCCTGCCCAGAACAGATTACAGCTTCCACAAGTTCCATTACCTGACCTTTGTGCCCTCAGCAGAGGACTTCTATGACTGCAGGGTGGAGCACTGGGGCTTGGACCAGCCGCTCCTCAAGCACTGGGGTATGCAACTGCTTTTCTCTCCATAATCTCCTGGCATCCTCTATTCCAAAGACCTGGTGTCCTCTGCACCAGCTTTCCGCACTGGCTGGGTCTCAGTCCTCTCCTCGTCCTAACATCCAATTAACTGGTCCATAACCTTCAATTCCCACAACCATCCCAGGCCATCACCACCCTCACTGCACCTCCTGACCCTATCTCTTCATTCTTCCCCCAGAGGCCCAAGAGCCAATCCAGATGCCTGAGACAACGGAGACTGTGCTCTGTGCCCTGGGCCTGGTGCTGGGCCTAGTCGGCATCATCGTGGGCACCGTCCTCATCATAAAGTCTCTGCGTTCTGGCCATGACCCCCGGGCCCAGGGGACCCTGTGAAATACTGTAAAGGTGGGAATGTAAAGAGGAGGCCCTAGGATTTGTAGAATGTAAGGAAGGGAGGAAAAATTCAATCTGATAAGTGTTCATTGATCTTCTAATGGGTTAAAAGCATTCAGCCACATAACAACAACAACACCGATAACTAACTGAGTAGTTAATATGGTCAGGCGCTATTCTGAGGATTTACATTTATTAACTCACTTTATTCTCACACATAGTCTTTGAGGTAGGTACTATTATTTTCACTATTTCACATGAGAGATACTTACATCTTTTTACATACACAGAGACTTTAAGCACTTTGATCAAGTTCCCACAGCTATGAAGTAGTAGGGCTAGCTTCCAATCCAGAAAGTCTGGATCCAAGACTGTTTATCCACTGTCCTATTCACCCTATTTTGTGAAGGAAAAGACCAAGTTCAAATTCTCCAGAGTCCATTGCCAAATAATGGAGTCAGATCTATATTTCTATACATAATTACAACACAGTGTGGTGGGTGCCTGTAACTACTTACTGTCTCTACTTGGACTCATTCCATGGCAATGTTCACACAAAAAATGCCCCTCCAGAGATCTTACAGGTTTCTATTTATCATAACACTCACCATGCTTTATATTTTTATATGTTTTGGGAATTCTCTTAGCATTAGACAGTGAACTTCCATGCAGATGACCACATCTAATTCATTATTATTATTGTTATTCATGCTGGACCTCAGGTACAAAAGGTTAAGAACTTCTCAGTTCATTATATGATCATCATTGGTGCCTCCGAGCTCTCTCTCTCTCCCTTGATTTATTTGGTCCCTTTTATCTCCAGTCCTTACTCCCATATCTAACCTCTTACCCCTACCTCATAGGTAAACATTTTAATGAATTTGATGTTTCCTTTTATTTGCATAGATCCTCTGTAATATGTAGTAGTGTCCAGTGTACATGTATTTTTAATTAACCAAAATGGCATTAAATTATAGATCTAATTTTGTACATCCAGTTTGTTTCTTCCAAATCTTCCATAGTATTTTACTTTATATGTCCATGCATTAGTCCATTTTGCATTGCTATAAAGGAATATCTGAAGTTACCTAATTTACGAAGAAAAGAGCTTTAAATGGCTCACAGATCTGCAGGCTGTACGCGAAACATGGCACTAGCATCTGCTTCTGTTGGGGGATTCTGGAAGCTTTTACTCATGGTGGAAGGCAAGTGGAGCCAGTGCATCACATGGTCATAGAGGGAGAAAGAGACATAGAAAGAGGTGCCAGCCTCTTTTTAACAACCAGGTTTCATGTGCACTAATAGAGTGAGAACTCACTCATTACCCGGAGAGGGGACAAAGCCATTCATGAGGGTCTCCTCCATGATTCAAATACCTCCCACCAGGCCCCACCTGCAACACTGGGGATCAATTTTCAACATGAGACTTGGAAGTGACAAATATCCAAATCATATTAATCCACATATCTACATTGCTCCTGGGATACCTGGATCATTCCTGGTTCTCTACTATTGCAAGCAATGCTTGTATCTCACATGGAACTGCATATACATGTGGGCCTGACCTGCATCCCTGGAATGTATGTATCCTAGAAAGGGGTTGCAGGGTTGCTGGAGATGCAGCTCCTTAATTTGACTAAACACTGCTCATCTTCTCATCAGAATGGCTGTACTCATCTGAACTTCCTTTGTCAGTACTCTAATTGTCCTGCAACTCCTAAATGGACTTCAACACTGGACATTATCCAGTTTTCTAACTTTTGCCAATTTCATGTGCATAAAGAAATATGCTGTTTTATTTTGCATTTCTTTAATTACTAATAATTGGGGCTATAATTAGGACTGATTAGCCACTTGGGGGTTCCTTTTCTATAAATTGCCTGTTCACATTCATTGTCCATTTTTGTACTATGTGCTTCCATCATTTTCTTATTGATTTGCAGGTGATCCTTATATAGTCCTGCTAGTAGTCCCTTGTCAGTTTTAGGCATTGCAAATGTTTTCCTCTAATCTGACTTCTGGCAACTGTCTCCTTGGTTTCCTTTATTGAAGAGAAATCCTTAATATTTTGTAATGAAGTCCATCAACTGTATTTTTGTTTGTGTGTCTTTTTTAAAAGAAGTCTTCCCTATACTGAGATATCAAAGATACTCTTAAAACATCTCCTACAGTTTTAAATTTCACATTTACTACTTTAATTCATCTGGGATTCATCTTTGTGTTTGATGGGGATCATGTTTTATTTTTCTTTATATAATGGGCCAGTGTGTTCCCACAACTACTAAATAGTTCACCTTTTCCCCATAGGTTAGTAGTGTCTCCTTTGCTATACTGAAAGCTCCCATTATAGGTGGGCCTGTGTCTGAGTTCCATCTTGTTCCACTGTTCTGTTTGTCTCTTCTTGTGCCAGTGTCCTAGTATTTTGATTACTATGACATTGTAGTGTGTGTTAGTATCCAGTAGGACAAATTCTTGTTTATTTTTCTTAGTTCACACACATTTATAATTATATCTATAATGATTTGTAACAGAGTGAAGTGAATGTAGAATGTCAGATGTTAAGAGGAAGAATGGAAAAGAGGGCTGGGACTAGGGTGATGTAGGGGATGCACCTGGCTTAGGTGCAAAATTTGGGGGATACCAAAAGAACTCAGTAATAAATCATATTTTAATGAAATATCTTGAAAAGGCAAAATTAATGCAAAGATACATGATTAACAAAACATCCAAAGAGGAGTATTTAACAAAAATGGAGAAGCAGAGAAGCAGAAGAATTAGGAGAATATGCTGTCACATGAGCCAAGGAATTAAAGAATTCAGGAAGGAGGAAGTACTGCTGTCAGATGTTCAACAGAGGTCATTTTAGAAAATTTACCTTGGTTTTTGAAATCCTTTCAAAGAGCAGTATACACAATGTGAGCAAGTATCCTTCGTTCATTGCCGTCATTGATATGGTTTGGATATTTGTCCCTTCCAATTCTCATTCCAGGGTTAAGCTTCTTCTCTGCCCTCAGTAATGTGGCCCTTCCCCTTGTCTGTATATTTTGGAGACATGAAGCATGTGGGATGGCCTCACAGTCAGCTGGGGTTTGAGGGTGAAATTCAATGACTTTCGTGAACTCCTTGGCTCCTATGTGCTCTTCACCTGGAGGACCAGGGCATGTGCAGGGATGACCACCTTCTCCCTGGGACCTGAACAGGGCAGAGAAATGGGAAGCTCGGGTGCAAAGGGAGTGGGGAAGATGGGTCCGGGCTTACAGTACTGAACCCAGGAATGACAATAACTGTGTGTGTTGCTGCAGGTGACAAAATATCTGAACAGAAGAGGACTTAGGAGAGATCTGAACTCCAGCTGCCCTACAAACTCCATCTCAGCTTTTCTTCTCACTTCATGTGAAAACTACTCCAGTGGCTGACTGAATTGCTGACCCTTCAAGCTCTGTCCTTATCCATTACCTCAAAGCAGTCATTCCTTAGTAAAGTTTCCAACAAATAGAAATTAATGACACTTTGGTAGCACTAATATGGAGATTATCCTTTCATTGAGCCTTTTATCCTCTGTTCTCCTTTGAAGAACCCCTCACTGTCACCTTCCCGAGAATACCCTAAGACCAATAAATACTTCAGTATTTCAGAGCGGGGAGACTCTGAGTCATTCTTACTGGAAGTCTAGGACCAGGTCACATGTGAATACTATTTCTTGAAGGTGTGGTTTCAACCTCTGTTGCCGATGTGGTTACTAAAGGTTCTGATCCCACTTGAACGGAAAGGTCTGAGGATATTGATTCAGTCCTGGGTTTTTCCCTAACTACAGGATAGGGTGGGGTAGAGAAAGGATATTTGGGGGAAATTTTACTTGGATGAAGATTTTCTTGGATGTAGTTTGAAGACTGCAGTGTTTGAAGTCTCTGAGGGAAGAGATTTGGTCTGTCTGGATCAAGATTTCAGGCAGATTAGGATTCCATTCACAGCCCCTGAGCTTCCTTCCCAAGGCTGTATTGTAATTATAGCAATATTTCATGGAGGATTTTTCTACATGATAAACTAAGAGCCAAGAAATAAAATTTTTAAAATGCCCTAATTCATTGCAATTTTTACCAGCCATAGTCACTCCATGTGGGAGAACTTAAATCATGATTACCAGAGCTTTCAAAGGTTTGAGAATAGTGATGATTATGAAGAAAAATATCTTATTTGAGCAAGGATTTTGTTTCTTTATGAGTGTTCATTAGATATTACGATGAAAAAAGCATGAAATGGTAAAAATTCAGATAAATATAAAAACATGTTCTCTAGTTTTTTTTAAGTTAAAAAAGGAATTGTTTAAAGTAAAAATTATTTGGGGGTTTATAACATACCCAGAAGTAAAATATGATGACAATGGCACAAAGAATAGAAGGGAGAAATGGAAGTATAATGTTGTAAGTTTCTTATACATGTTAAGTGGTGTGTTATTATTTGAAGGTAGAATGTATTAAGATGAATATTTTAAGCTCCTGATAACTATTGAAAAAAAAAGAGGTATAGCCAAGAGGCCAATGGAGAAGATAAAATAGAACACTAAGCATAATTAATTCAAAATAAAGAAATAAAAAAGGGAAAGTCTGGTAAGACAAAAAGAAAACAAACTGTAAGATGGTAGAGTTTAAAACAACCATACTAATAATTGAATTAAATGCACATGGCCTAAATATTCTAATGAAAAGGGAAAGATTGTCAGAATGCACAAAAAAATCTACAGGCCAACTTCATGCTCTCTACATAATGCCCTCTTTAAATATGAAGGCAAAGACAGGTAAAAAGTAAAAGAATGGGAAAATACATGTATACCGTGGAATGCTATGCAGCCATAAAAAAATGAGTTCATGTTGTTTGTGGGGACATGGATGAAGCTGGAAGCCATCCTTCACAGCAAACTAACACAGGAACAGAAAACCAAACACCACACGTTCTCACTCGTAAGTGGGAGTTCAACAATTAGAACACATGGACACAGGGAGGGGAACACCTCACACCAGGGTCTGTCAGGGCATGGGGAGCAAGGGGAGGGAGAGCATTAGGACACATACCGAATGTATGCATGGCTTAAAACCTAGATGATGGGTTGATAGATGCAGCAAACCACATGGCACATGTATAACTATGTAACAAACCTGCACATTCTGCACATGTATCCCAGAACTTAAAGTAAAAAAAAAAAAAACGAAAATAATGCCAACCATGGAAGTATTGGTGGCTGTGTTAATATCAGAAATATAAGACTCAGAAATATTACCAAGGAGAAAGAAGGATAGTTCATAATGATAAAAGGATCATTTTATTATCAACATATAACAATCCTAAATGTGTTTGTTCTTAGAAAATATGTCTTAAATCACATTATACCAAAAATGATAAAAATAAATCAGAAATAGACAAATTCACAATTATATTTTAGTATTCTAGCACTCAGTAAACAATAAAATATTTAGGAAAAAACTTCATGAGGACATGATAGATTTAAATAACATTATCAATGAACCAACGTGATCTAATCAAGATCTGTAGAATATTCCACCCAATAGTGGCAGAATACACATTATTTTCAAATGCTCAAGAATATTCCACAGGACAGACTATACACTGGGTCATAAACACATATAAATAAATGTCTAAATAAATAAATGTCTCTATTGAAATCATACAGAATACATTCTCGGACCACAATAGCATTAAATTAGAAACCAATAACAGAAAAATACCTTGAAAGTCCCAAATACCTAGAAATTAAAAAGTATACTGCTAAACAGCACCTGGATTTAAAAAGAGTCAGAAGGAAAATTAGAAAATATTTTGAACTGAGTGAATATGAAAGCACACTATCAAAATTAGTATGATACACTAATTAGAGAATAATTTATAACTTTACATAATTGGAAAGGAGGGAAACTCTAAAATCAACCATCTATGTTCCCATCTTAAGAAGCTAGAAAAAAAAAGTCAAATGAATCCCAAGATTAATAAGATCAGAAATAAATGCAATAAAATGGACAAACAATAAAGAAAATAAACAAAGTCAATTGCTGGTTTTCAATAAGGCTCAATACATTCATGAATCTCTAGGTAGATGGATCAAGAAAAAGAGATAAGACTCAAATCCCCAATATCAGAAATGGAAGTGGGTACGTCACAACAAATCATACAGACATTAAAAGTATTATGACAGAATGCTATGAAAATGCCAATAAACAAAAATGACAATAAATTTGACAATTTACATTGTTAAATTAAATTAAATTTGGTGTAAAGCTTTCTCCATATCTTAAATTCCTACATAGCAAACTAACCCAACTTAACATAACTGCGTTATGCAAACAAACTACAGCCTAACTTAAGAGTGTTGTAATAAATAGCTGAGTCTCAGCCAATCACAGGCTGCCAAGTGATCATATTATGTCCCCCATAAGGCAAATGCCTCATCACGCCATGCCCATATAAGGCAAACACTGAGCTGTAATAAATTGGCTGGTTTTGAGTATCACTTCCTGTTTTTATCTATAAACACTGCCTTCACATGTTGCTGGACAGAGCTTTCTGAATCTTTCTGGGTTCTGAGGGCTCCCCAATTCATGAATTGTTCTTTGCTAAATAAACTCTGTTAAATTCAACTTCTCTAAAATTTTTATTTTAACAACATGAAATAGAAACATTTCTTGAACGATTCAAATTACCAAAACTAAATCAAGAAGAAATCTCTGTCAATGGAAGAAATTAAGTTTGTAATTTTAAAAATCCTTCTCACAGAGAAGGCCAAATGGTTTCCAGGTCAGATGGCTTCATTGATTAATCCATAGTATTCTGTCATAATACTGTCATAATACTTTTAATGTCTGTATGATTAATTCTATTATACATTTAAGGAAGAAACAATACAAACTCAATACAAACTCTTTCAACAAAAGAGCAGAAGAAAACACATCCCAATAATTTACAAGTCCAATATACTAACATCAAACAATGACATTAAAAGAAAAGGAAACTAAAGACACACAAACATAGCCATGAAAATGTTTAACAAAATATTTTTTAAAATTGAATTCAATAATATATTAAAAAGGATGATATAACATGATCATAAAAGTTTATGCCAGGAATGGAAGGCATGTTTAACATGCAAAAAATCAATGTGATTCCACATCTTAACAGAATACAAAAGAAAAATTATGTAATTATGTAAATGGATGCAGAAAAAGGCATTTGCTCATTCATGATAAAAAGTCCTAGAAAACTAGGAATAAAAAGGAATTACCTGATAAGGTGTGTCCATGAAAACCAACAACTGAAATTTTCAATTTTGGGTGGGGGAGGGGGGCGGGCATTTTACTTTCTCCATAAAACTATTAAATTATCTAATGTGAAAGTGGAATTCAGTGAAGAAATGTTCCCTACTGCAAAAATACAAAATGCTGGACATTCTGTGAACAGTTTCTATGCATTCTATATAAATGAAACTATTAACTATATAATACATTTATTTGCTTGATCAATAATGGTCCTGGCAAAAATTGACCAATGCTGAGACATTTGTAATGAAATACTAATTTTAAAAGTCCATGACACCTTGATAGAAATTAGAGTTTACACAAACAAAAAAGGAACCTTCGATATTTCCAGCAGCTACAAGGTGAATGTACTGAGACCGACAGGACAGCAAGAAGGCATTTGCACATTTATATCTGACACCAGACCACACTTTCAGCCACCAGAATATCTTCTCTCCATATTTTAAAAAATAGTGTCTCTCCCTCTCCCTCTCCCCACGGTCTCCCTCTCCCTCTCTTTCCACAGTCTCCCTCTGATGCCGAGCCGAAGCTGGACGATACTGCTGCCATCACGGCTCACTGCAACCTCCCTGCCTGATTCTCCTGCCTCAGCTTGCCGAGTGCCTGCGATTGCAGGCGCGCGCCGCCACACCTGACTGGTTTTCGTATTTTTTTGGTGGAGATGGGGATTCGCTGTATTGGCTGGGCTGGTCTCCAGCTCCTAACCGAGAGTGATCCGCCAGCCTCGGCCTCCCGAGGTGCCGGGATTGCAGACAGAGTCTCGTTCACTCAGTGCTCAATGGTGCCCAGGCTGGAGTGCAGTGGCGTGATCTCGGCTCGCTACAACCTCCACCTCCCAGCAGCCTGCCTTGGCCTCCCAAAGTGCCGAGACTGCAGCCTCTGCCCGGCCGCCACCCCGTCTGGGAAGTGAAGAGCGTCTCCGCCTGGCCGCCCATCGTCTGGGATGTGAGGAGCCCCTCTGCCTGGCTGCCCAGTCTGGAAAGTGAGGAGCGTCTCTGCCCGGCCGCCATCCCATCTAGGAAGTGAGGAGCGCCTCTTCCCGGCCGCCATCACATCTGGGAAGTGAGGAGCGTCTCTGCCTGGCCGCCCATCGTCTGAGATGTGGGGAGCACCTCTGCCCTGCCGCCCCGTCCGGGATGTGAGGAGCGTCTCTGCCCGGCCGCCCCGTCTGAGAAGTGAGGAGACCCTCTGCCTGGCAACCGCCCCGTCTGAGAAGTGAGGAACCCCTCCGCCCAGCAGCCACCCTGTCTGGGAATTGAGGAGCGTCTCCGCCCGGCAGTCACCTCCTCCGGGAGGGAGGTGGGGGGGTCAGCCCCCCGCCCGGCCAGCCACCCCATCCGGGAAGTGAGGGGCGCCTCTGCCCGGCCGCCCCTACTGGGAAGTGAAGAGCCCCTCTGCCCAGCCAGCCGCCCCGTCCGGGAGGGAGGTGGGGGGTCAGCCCCCTGCCCCGCCAGCCGCCCCGTCCGGGAGGGAGGTGGGGGGGTCAGCCCCCCGCCCGGCCAGCCACCCCATCCGGGAAGTGAGGGGCGCCTCTGCCCGGCCGCGCCTACTGGGAAGTGAGGAGCCCCTCTGCCCCGCCACCACCCCGTCTGGGAGGTGTACCCAACAGCTCATTGAGAACGGGCCGTGATGACAATGGCGGTTTTGTAGAATAGAAACGGGGGAAAGGTGGGGAAAAGATTGAGAAATCGGATGGTTGCCGTGTCTGTGTAGAAAGAGGTAGACATGGGAGACTTTTCATTTTGTTCTGTACTAAGAAAAATTCTTCTGCCTTGGGATCCTGTTGATCGGTGACCTTACCCCCAACCCTGTGCTCTCTGAAACATGTGCTGTATCCACTCAGGGTTGAATGGATTAAGGGTGGTGCAAGATGTGCTTTGTTAAACAGATGCTTGAAGGCAGCATGCTCCTTAAGAGTCATCACCACTCCCTAATCTCAAGTACCCAGGGACACAAACACTGCGGAAGGCCGCAGGGTCCTCTGCCTAGGAAAACCAGAGACCTTTGTTCACTTGTTTATCTGCTGACCTTCCCTCCACTATTGTCCTGTGACCCTGCCAAATCCCCCTCTGCGAGAAACACCCAAGAATGATCAATAAAATAATAATAATAAAAAAAAAATAGTATGCTGATTTCTACAACAAAGATTTTTTTCATACAAAAATCAAATCATGGCCAGAAGATATCCTTCTTAAACTGGATGCCAGATGAGCATGCTGAACACAAAGCATGGTTTGTAGAGAAGAGATGTTTCTAACAAAAAAATTAAGGACAGAGTTTGAGGTAATGACGGAACATCCAGACGGATGTGCCCAGTACATATACTGAGATGAAGCCAGAGACTATACACTAATGGGTTTTTCTGTGGCATCATGATTGATGCCATGAGGGTGACTGAGATCTGCAGGAGAATGAGTGTAGAGAGATGAGCAAAGGGCTGAAGATTATGCCTTAAGTATGTCTCCATTTAAAAATGGGAAATGGAGGAGCAGTGCACAAAGGAGTATGCATTATTTCCTGCCTCAGCGTTTTGGGGTAAATAGGGTAAGGAAGAGAGGGCTATGGGAAGAGAATGACCTGTCTCTCCATCTCACTTATAACTATCTGGTTGACCACCAACTGGATAAGACCAAATAGTTTGATATACCTGTCAAGGGACTTAATATAACATTAGCCTGCATTAATATCAGCAATATTTCTGTAATAAGGAAGGTGATAGATCTCCTATTCCCTTCTTGAACTTTACTTGAAGCTCTGTACACTCAGACATAGATTTTTAAGAAAAATCTGTACCACCTGGACAGAGGTATAAAGGAAAATGGAAAACAGGAGTAAAATAGTTCAAAGGGTTGTGATTTTGGAGCCATTAAAGAATCTGGTCAAGTTTGGTTTGGTGAAGTGAAAAAAGCAGAACCAGGATTGGTTTAAGAATCTCTGACTCCAAATAACTATACCTCAACTATGGAGGTCCTAGGAGGTCAGGCAGGGGTGTGTTGCTTTATTTATGAGAAAAGTGTACGCACGTATCTCTAAATATGTAAGGTACATGATGATTCCTTTTTTATTGTCTTGAGTAGGATGATCTGCTCCTAGCAGCGTGCAGATGGGGCTTATGTAAGCCCTAAGCACTCGTGTATGACAGAGGAAGAAAAGGTTCTTCCTTAGGATGAGAGAACTTCAAACAAGATTACTCCAGCCCATCCTCCCATTTGCTCTCTCTTTCTGTTTTCAGCTCACATAGAAAAGCCCTTTTTGGTATTTAAGCTCAATTGCTCTTATTGTGGGACAGTGGAGGCTGTGTATTACACCCATAAAAACTATTTGTCTCTATTTCCTCTCTGAAAAGGTAGCATTGCAACACTTCCCTCTCTGCTTTCCCTTCTCTCTCTTAGCCAGGGGCCCCATTGCTCAGGGTTAGAATACACAGTCAACTAAAAAAATCTGTCCCATAAAGGGACTGTTGAACACTCAACTGTCTGTTTGATGGTTGAAGCTAAGCTCTAAGAGTGAGAGTAAAATGCCGATGGAGAAGGTTTGGAGAAAGCTGTGATGACAAGAATTATCACTTCTGCTTAATGACTTTCCCTCCAGCCAATGAGATTTGAGTGTGAAGCATCCTCACTTGTGACCAGGTAATAAAGGTACTGAGATTGTCCTGAGTGAGTTGCAGAGAAGGGAGAGGTATGGCATGCTATCAAGAGAACAGTTCTTTTCATAGTGGGAAAATGTATCAGAGTGTCACGTGGACATAGAAGTGAGAGAACTGAGGGTTGAAGTGGGTTCTTGGGAAGGTTACATCTTCTGCTGTTGAGAAAATCTGAAGTGTATGCCAACTAGGGTTAGAATTGCTGCCTCACAGGAAGTAGCACTCTGTGCAGCCACCAATTAAAGCTGCCCTGCCTGGATCCTTTTAGTATTTTGGGATTGATAAATAGATATGAATAACAAATGGGCAAACCCAGGCAAGGTAAAACTAAGGAGAAAACATAGAAATAGTGCACAGAAACGAGTTAGAGAAGAATAAAACAGAATATAAGTACAAGTCTCCTTACCTGTTGGCACATGGGAATAGTTTTGGTGTATGCTAAAATAGTTTTTCCTTGGAGCTTCAGGTTGTAAATTGCTAAGGAAAACCTGCTTGGTGCTGGAGTCCGGAGTCTTTACTTTTCTTCTAGTTACAGCTCTCAGATGCCTGTTCAGGTTCTCAGAAGCATAGTACCCATTAGCTACTTTGTTAGATCCACTGTGAAATTTGGCTTCCATATCCGGTTTTACAATTCAATGTTGGATCAAAAAGACTGGTTGGCCTCCTAGAAGCCTTTCTAAATTCTACTGAGCTGGAAATGGTTAGAGAAAGAGCTGTCTACTCTCTGAGGAGCACTTCTGAGTTACTTCTACTTCACAGGTTCTAACACAAAAGGTGTTAACCCTAGAGGATTAGAACCTAATCAGTTATGGCAAACAGAAGTTACATCCCTGAATTTGGAAAACTAAGATATGTACATGTATCCATTGATACGAACACTTATCTAATTAGTGCACACACTCTTCTGTTGACTGAAGTGTACAGTTGTGTGCAGCAACACGTCTGTCAGGCAAGGCAGTCATCGCTTTTATTCCGGCTTTGCATCCTAGAATTAGCAAATAACATAAGACAATCATGAGAATAATTAGCAATATTCTTTTCCAGTCAAAGAGTGAACCCCAGGAGCGGGGGTCTAACCAGGAGTGATGATCTTGCACACCCTTCCATATGGCTGTTTGTTGGGTGTGTAGATCTATAGTGGGAAGGGATTCTAAAATTTTAGTTTGAAGTTGCTTTACATCTGCTATTAAATTGTCATGAATTGTTCCCCAGAGGTGTTGTTTCACTTCATCCCAACTATGTATTGATTGACTCTATGATAGAGAAGTGACACAGATATGTTTATGCGCCCAGTCGCAGTTTAATTGCTGTTAGAATGCCAGTGCATCTTGTTACTCCCCCATATATTCCAGGGCAGCCTCAAGGACCTCAAGGGCTTGCAGACGTGCAAGAATCTTTTGCTCTAGACCCTGCTGTAAGAGAAGTTCATTAGACACGTTTCTGGCCAAATTATCTACAAAAGCACCTATTTGTAGTGATTCAGTAATAGCTGCTACAGCCACACTAGCAGTTGCTAGGATGACTGTGGCTGAGACTATAAAGGCTGTAAGTGTGCCTATGTATCTTTTGGGTCTGGCCTAGGACAGGGCACATTCTTAGGTGGCAAGGGCAGAGGAACTTTGCCAATCGCATGTCAAATTGACTGGGTAGGAATGCCTCAGATTGTCTCCTTAATACCATGACACTAGTAATATTTAAATTAGATGTATTATAATTAGTGATACATGAGGCAAACCAAGCCTGTTCCTGCACCTGGGTCACAAATGCGGAGTTTTGGGGTGTAATGGAAGTATCAGTTTCCATAAGGAAAATATATGTATGGGTAGTATAAATTAGGCACTGATCAGTGTGATTATGAATAAAGGTTATAGTGTATTTGCCACTGGAATTATGATATGTCCCATGCCAGGTGAAAAGGAGGTGCTAAGATGTCCCAGGTACCGTAAAGTGTCTTGGGTAGCATGGACTTTACTTGGGGTATGGGATAACCCATCCCCCCCATTGGCCTAAATCATAGGGGAACGTGATGAGGCTACAAAACTGTGATTAACACCATGATAGATGAGGACATCAGTAAGGATGCCCTGAAAATGGCCGTGGGGGCTCCAGTCTAAGGTATTATAATGGCCTAGCTGGAGGCTACAAGCTTATTCCCCGTGACAGACCTCCCAGCTAAAGTGGAATCCATTACTTTCCCAGCTTTATTCTTTAGCACAGGAAGGAATGTTCGGGAAAGAATCATTGATTGCATTACCTGATTTGAAGCTACCTGCAGCTAAGACTTTAAAGGCATTTCTTTTGCCATGATGTAGCCATAATTGTGTTTGGGCAGGTACACAGTAAGGGTTATAATCTTTATAACTTACACACAGTGGGAGGATAGTGGAGTGATATGTAGTGTGTCTGGCACGTTAGTCCAGTGTATGCCATTATCGAGGGACCCCACTGGGGGTAAATCTATCCCTCCTAGCCAAGCAGTTATGTTATTAAAAGTTGGGAAGGGAGTGTCTGCCTAGGTGACAGGGTGAAAGAAAGGCGGATCTAAGATATGAGCCCAATAGAGTGTAGCAGGAACAGGTTGCAGACAAAGCACGAGCATAAAAAGGATCAATACCCTACATGAGTTGCAATGTACAACAGAAATCATAGCAAGGAGCAAATTATCTGGAGTGAATGGTGTCTGTGTCCAGAGCAGGGTTCATTCAGCCTCCTGAGTTGTCCTCTTCAGCATCCCCCAGTAATGTCTAGGGTTTGTGTCATCCACGGAAGCTGCATCATCCGGGACCGTGGGTCCTGCAGGGTTAGTTCCTTCATTTCTGGTACCGGGTTGAGTCCTAGCCATGTCATGGTATGGTTTGATGTGTCTTGCTGGAATCCAAAGAGGACTTGAGGGGGTGTGGACACAAGCATACCCTCTTCTCCAAGTTAACAATTCATTTGGACCACACCATACATTACTGCTTACATCTTTCCATAAAACTGCAGGTTTTATGTCTTGAGAGGTTTTAGCAAAAAGTGTTTCTCTATAGTTGATTGAAATTTGTCATCTACATTTTAAAAATTAAGGGTAAATAAGGCTTGTGCCAATAGTGTTGCAGGGTCTTTACCCATACTCCCCCTTTTCTGTTTTTTGAGCATATTTTTAAGGCTGGAGTGGGCACGTTCTACTATGGCCCGTCCTTGGGGGTTATACGGGATGCCTATGGAACGTTGGATATTCCACGTGTGACAAAATTGTTGAAATTGTGAGCTGGCATAAACTGGACCATTATCAGTTTTAATTTTTATGGGCCGCCCCATACATGCAAAAGTTGAAAGAAGATGTTTAATGACATATTGAGTGGACTCTCCAAGGAAGAGCGTGTGCACTAATTAGATGAGTGCTGGTATCAATGGATACATGTACATATCTTAGTTTTCCAATTTCAGGGATGTAACTTCTATTTGCCATAACTGATTAGGTTCTAATCCTCTAGGGTTAACACCTTTTGAAGGAGGGGACATGCCTGTTAGCTGGCAATTTGAGAATTGTGGGATAATTTGTTTAGCCAGTCTCTGGGTAAGTTGAAATTGCTTAGATAAGTTTCTCCAATTTTGGTGGAAAAATTGATGCGATTGGGTGGTTTGGTCAAGCAGTGATGTCATCACCTGAAGGTCTCCTTGATCACTGCCATAAGCCAGTGGGCCAGGCAGTGAGCTGTGGACTCGAATGTGTGTAATAAAAATAGGATGTGTACATTGATCTAGCAATTGCTGAAATCAGAGAAAAAGAGCACACAGGGCAGGCTCCAGAGTGGACTTAATTACGGCTGCTTCAAGATTTTGCAATAAATAAACAAAGTAGGCAGAATCACTAACTATATTGATGGCTGAGTAGAAAAAGTTTCCAAGGCCAATATCAGGGCCCCGATCTCACCTCTCTGAATGCTAGTAAACCCAGATTGAGTGAGTGAATTATGTGGTCTCCACCAGATTGCCGCCTTTCCATGTTTGCCTGAATCATCAGAAAACAATGTTAAAGCATTAGGTATGGAGGAGTGAACTATTTTTGTAGGCAAGATCACAGGAGTATGAGATAAGAAATGAAGGAATTTATCAGCAGGAAGAACATGCTCTATTTGTCCTGTGTAATCAGAGAGAGCTATTTGCAGATCTAACAATAGGGACAAAACTGCTTCTAATTGCTTTTTACTTAAAGGAATCCTGATGATTTCAGGATATCAGGATCATAGCCTAGCAACTGACTGCATTGTTTGAGGCCTGAATATACGACTTTACTAATTAACTGAATGTAGGGAAAGAGTGTTTTAGTCCTGGTATGTGAGCAAAAAAAAATCCATTCTAGAAAGCGCAGTCCTGGGGTCATCGGTCCTATTAATCCTGAAGGGGAGTGTTTGGTGGGGAAAATAAACAACTGGATGAAATAATGGGTGTCTATGTGATCTAGTTGCCTCTGAGAGATGGCTTGTTCTATTTCCTCAATTTCCCTTTTTGCTGCAGGGTTTAAATATCTGGGAGAATTCAGGGCTATATTGCCCTTTAAGATAGAAAACAGGTTTTGCAGCTTATAAGTAGGAATGCCTAAAGTGGGGCAGAGCCAGTTGATATCACCTAGTAATTTCTGATAATCATTTAAGGAATGTAAGTTGCTAGTATTTAATTTAACATTTTGAGGTCTTACTGACCAGGAAGTTAGCATGTACCCAAGATATATTTCCAAGGAGAGAAAGTTGTACTTTTTCAGGTGCAATGATTAAACCTCTTAGCTGTTTATTCTTTATGACAGAGGTATATAAATTTAAAAGTATTGGCTCTGTTGGGGTTGCTGGTAAAATATTCATAAAACGAATAATCTTGCAATTAGGAAATTCTTTTCTACTGGGAGCAAAGCTTGATTTACATGATACTGACACTTGGTAGGACTGTTTAGCATCCCTTGAGGAAGCACATTCCAATGAAATCAACAAGCTGGCCTTTCATTATTGATAGCTGGTATTGTAAATGCAAATTTTTCTCTGTCCTGTTCTGCTGGGGGAATCATATAAAAGCAGTCCTTTAAGTCAATAATGATTATAGGCCAATCTCGAGGAATCGCCACAGGGGATGGGAGGCCCTGTTGAAGGGGTCCCATAGGTTGCAAATTAGCATTAACAGCACATAGGTCATGCAAAATCTCCATTTCCCAGACTTTTTGGGAATGATGAAAATGGGCAAATTCCAAGGACAAATAGATGGTTCTACATGCCCAGCTTTTAATTGCTCTTCAACTAATTCACAGGCTTTTTGTAATTTCTCTCCCTTCAGAGGCCACTGTTCTACTCAAATTGGATCTTGAGAGAGCTACGACGGGGGTAGGGGAGGAATAATAACAGTGGCCATTGTTATAAAGGGGGCTGAGAGTCACCCCTCCCGCATTGGGCTAATAAATCCTGTCCCCAAAGATTAACAGGGATGCGCATGCTTACGGGTTGTATAACTGCCTTTCTTCCTTCTGAATTGCAACAGGTTAGGGAGTGCATGCTCTGCTTGGCTCTGTGTGCTTCCCTGATGCAGACAATTTTTTATTTCTGAGTGACCCAAGGCCAAATTTCTAGCCAGTTTTGATCACTAATGATTGAAACGTCCACCCCTGTGTCCAATAAGCCAGTAAAATTATTATTTCCAATTTTTAAGATAATCATGGGTCTCTGATCAGTGATTAATTGATTCCCATATACTCCTGTGGCTCCTGTGCTCCCAAAACTTCCTTTCCCCTTTCCTTTCCGTGGGCACTGGGGACCCAGTATGGCAAAATCAGTAACTGAGCTATCTTTGATCCAGGGGGAAGAATATTCAGACCTTTACATTCCATCATAACCAATATCTCACCTTGGTAATCACTACCAATTACCCCAGTGAGCACATTAATTCCTTTACTGGACAGGCTAGACCGCCCTAGGACTAATCCCACTGCTTCTGGAGGCAGCTGGCCCCAGATCCCGTATGCAGCCCTTTTAGGGTCTTCTCCTTCTTTCAGCACTGATTTGTTGGGGCAGAGTAAGTCCAGTCCTGCACTCCCAGTGGTGGCTGCTCTGAGAGAGAGGACTGTGAGCTCTCCATCAGACCGAGGAAAGCTGGTGGGATTGCCCCAGTTTGAAGCAGGGCCTAGGGCCAGCCCGTCATGAAGTTTCCCACCTGGTTACTTATGGGGTTTCTGTTTTTATCAAATTTTGACCTGCATTGATTTGCCCAATGTTTCACCGTTTTACATCCGGGGCATATAGAAGGGGGTTCTTTCCCTGAGTTACCTTCGTCTCTATTATGGGGGCATTCCCTCTTCATATGATCTGGCTCTCCACATAGAAAACAACTTTGGCTTCTCTCCCTTTTCACTTTAGGAGGCCTTAATGCCATAACCAATATTTTGGCTTGTGTGTCTCAGTTCCCACCAGCTGACATGCTCATATAAGTTCCCCGACTGTGGCTGCCTTTCCTCTGATTGCCTGCATTGCCTGCTGGTGATCCACATGAGAGTTTTCAAAAGCCAATTGCAACAATAAGATATCAGCAGCCTGGGCGTGACTAATTTGTCTCTTAATTGCCTGGGTTAACCAATTGAAAAACTCAACAAATGGCTCCTGAGGCCCTTGTTGAACATTTATAAAAGATCCCTGCTAAACTCCACTTTCAGGAATTCAGTCCCAAGCCCTGAGAGCACACAAAGACACTTGATTTTAGGCCTGGGGAATCAAAATCTAGTCGTTGTACATAGGCATGGGATCCTTCCCCTGGAGCATAGCAGCTGTTAGGTCTTGCCCCGTCGCCTGATTCTGGTTAGCTTATTGTTCACACAGCTCATCATATTCTGCCTTCCAGAGGAGGTATTGGCTAGGCTCCAAAGTTGTTTTGGTTAGCATTGCCCAGTCCCATGGGGTCATAGAAAAGTGGTCTGCCAAGGCCTCAATCATTCCTTTCATAAATGGGCTAGCAGCTCTGTTTTCTTTAATGCTTTTTCTTAGCTCCTTATAAGCATTAAAAGAAATGGGTTCATGTACCTGATTGCCTTGTCGGTCTTGCATTACCAGGCAGGCTAAGAGCTCCCCTTCCAATGCCACTTGCTTAAGACAAGGTCCCATAGCTGGAGCATGTCTCCTGTCTTTTTTCCTATCTATTGGAGGAGGGGGCTCAGGCAAAACCTCCATTTCCTCTTTGTTATTTTGGCCTGGTGATATCAGGGCTGAGGAACTTGCGGGTGGTAAAATACATGATGGTGCCTTGTCCTTCCCCTTTTTAGGCTCTTCTGTGTATAATGGGACCAAAGCCGCCCTTACTAAGGCCCATAGCATTAAAGATGATACTGGGACCCGTTACCCTTGAACATGATGTTGCTTAAGATTTTTTCCCACTCGTTCCCAGAGCTCTAGGTCTAGCATGCCTTCTTGGGGGAACCATGGGTTATGGGATACAACAGTTTGCATTAGGTTCCTTAATTAAACCTGTGAAACTGAGGCTCTGCTAGCTTTAAGCAGCCATTTCAATACTTTTATATACTGTTTCTGTTGAGCTGATAACTGTTGTCCCATGATGAAACCTTAGCCTGAACAATCCCCCGCCCCGAACTTGGAAATCCCAAGCAAGTACCAATGACTTACTGATTACTCACTGACTGCGCAGTTCCTTTTTCACCTTCATTTTCAGGGGGTTCATCAATCTCCCTTTGCAGCATTCCTCATGCGGGGCACCAGCTGTGGTAGTCTGACCCACAGACCCTGACCCAGTAATGGATGAGAGGTGTACACTGACACAGATATCTTGCTTGTCAGTTCAGCTGAGGGTCCAGGCCACACACAGACACCAAGGAAGGTGCTGTAAAGAGTTGCATCTATGGCCCTGATCAACCAGCAAAGCTCGCATTTGTTCACACCACTAGAGGGCAATTGACCTGTTTGCCGACCCCCCCAAGTAGAGAGCAATTATGCATCTGCAGTTGAACAAATGTTGGTCTTACGACCACATGAGTAAACAAGCTATTTAGATAAATGTTCCTTTGTATCTGTGCCCCAAGCAATTAACTCAAGGTAAGGATTACGCTGCTTTCAGCCATAACCCTATCTTGAGACTTTTGCAAATACCTTCTGGCCTTCCAAGAAGGTTTGTGTCTATATCCTATAATTTTACAATTTCTCCCACCATCCTGACTGAACCCCCACACTAGACTAACCAAGAAAAGAAAAGAGAATACCCAAGTAAACCATATCATAAATGAAAAAGAAGCTATTACAACAGATCCCACATAAATACAAAAGATAATCAGAAACCATTATGAACAAATATATGGTAACAAACTGGAGAAACAAGAGGAAATGGATAAATTTCTGGAAACATACAACTTACCAAGATTGAATCAGGAAGAAAGAAAATCTGGACAGACTAATACTGAGTACTGAAATGGAATCAGTAATAAAAAATCTCCCAAAAAAGAAAAATCCAAGAGCATATAGTTTCACTGATGAATTCCACCAAACTTTCAGAGAACCACCACCGATTTTCCTCCAACTGGTCCAAAAAGTTGAAGAAGAGGGAATTCTCCCAAACTCATTCTGTGAGGCTAGCATTACCCTAATGGCAAACCCAGACAAGGATGCTCCAAGAAAGAAAACTACAGGTGAATATCCTGATACATACAGATGGAAAAATACTTACCAAAATAGGAGCAAACCGAATCCAACAGTAGATCAAAACAATAATATAATGTGATCAAGTAGGATTTACAGCAAGGATGCAAGGATATTTCAACATACACAAATCAATGAATGTGATACATCACATCAACATGATGAAGGCCAAAATCCATATGACTATCTCAATAAATGCAGAAGAAGCATTTGATAAAATTCAACACCTTTTCGTAATAAAAACTCTCAACAAACTAGGCATAAAAGGATCATGCCTTAATATAATAAAGGCTCTATGTGACAAAACCCACAGCTAACATCATACAGAATGGTGAAAAGTTGAAAGCTTTTTCTTTAGGAACTGGGAAAAGACAAGTATACACATGTTCACCCCTCCTACTCAACATAGTACTATTCTATCTATCCAAGGGGGGCTGCACATCAGCCCTGTCTCCTATCTGCCATCTTCCTGGCAAGAGCTCATAAAGCAAGTTCCAAAATAATCTTATATTTAGAAAAACCAAACACTCCACCAGAACACTCTTAGAACTGATAAGCCAATTCAGTAGACTTGGCAGGATACAAAATTAATATGCAGAAATAAGTAGCATTTCTATTCACCAACAATGAAATAGCTGAAAAAGAAATGAAGAAGAGAATTCCATTTATGATAGCTACAAAAAATATGATAAAATACTTGGAATAAATTTTACCAAAGAGATGAAAGATCCCTACAAGGCAAACTACAAAACACTGATGAAAGAAATTGAAGTGGACACAAACAAATGGAAAGAAATTCCATGCTAATGGATCAGAAGAATTAATATCATTAAAATGACCATATGGCCCAAAGCAATCTACAGATTTAATGTGATCCCTATCAAGATACCAATGTCACTTTCCACAAAAATATAAAAAACAATCCTAAAATTTGTATAGAACCATAAAAGATCCTGAATAGGCAAAGCCATCCTGAGCAAAAAGAACAAAGCTGGAAGTATCACAATACCTGAGTTCAAAACATTTTACAAGGCTGTAGTAACCAAAAGAGTAGAGTACTGGTATAAAAAACAGACACATAGACCAATAGAATACAACAGAATAGGGGACAGAATCATGGTGGATGGGAGGCATTATACATTGCCCCTCCAACTTGGATGGACAGAGCAGCTTGTGGAGTCTTGCATCATGAACTTTTGCTCCAGACCTATTGCAGGAATGACTGGGAAAGCTGAGAGAACCCACAGACCCTCTGAAGGGAGCAGATTGCTCCTGCAGGACCTGGGAGACATCCCAAATACTGTGAGTGCCCAAACTGTGGAGGTGGGAAAGGGGGATCTTCCACCCTTGAATGCATACCTCACTGGGGAACCTGAAGGTGTAGATCATGGGAGAAGATTCTGACCTGAACTGGAGCTGAGTCCATTTAGAAGCTGAGGGAAACACAGGGGTAGAGGAAGCAGCGGAAGGGACTTGTTTTGGGCACTAACATTTGGCTCTTTGTTACTTATGCAAATTTCTGCAGCTGGCTTGAATTTCTCCTCAGAAAATGGGATTTTATTTTCTATCGCATTGTCAGGCTGCAAATTTTTCAAACTTTTATGCTGTTTCCCTTTTAAAACTGAATGCTTTTAACAGCACTCCAGTCACCTCTTGAATGCTTTGCTGCTTAGAAATTTCTTCTGCCAGATACCCTAAATCATCTCTCTCAAGTTCAAAGTCCCACAAATCTCTAGGGCAGGGGCAAAATGCCACCAGTGTCTTTGCTAAAACATAACAAGAGTCACCTTTGCTTCAGTTCCCAACAAGTTCCTCATCTCCATCTGAAACCATCTCAGCCTGGATTTCATTGTCCATATCATTATTCAACAAGTCTCTAGAAAGTTCCACATTTTCCCACATTTTCCTGTCTTCTTCTGAGCCCTCCAAACTCTTGCAACCTCTGCCTGTTACCTAGTTCCAAAGTCACTTCCACATTTTTGGGTATCTTTTCTGTGGTGCCCCACTCTACCGGTACCAATTTACTGTATTATTCTGTTTTCACACTGCCGATAAAGACATAACTGAGACTGGGCAATTTACAAAAGATAAAGGTTTAATTGGACTTACAGTTCCACATGGCTGGGGAAGCCTGACAATCATGGTGGAAGGCAAGGAGGAGCAAGTCTCATCTTCCTTGGATGGTGGCAGGCAAAGAGAGAGCTTGTGAGGGCAACTCCGTTTTCAGAACTATCAGATCAACTGAGACCCATTCACTGTCACAAGAACAGCACTGGAAAGACCCACCCCCATAATTCAGTAATCTCCCACAGGGTGCCTCCCACAACACGTGGGAATTATGGGAGCTACAAGGTGAGGTTTGGGTGGGGACACAGATCCAAACCATATCACTGTAGAACAAATGGACTTAACAGATATTTACAGAACATTCTACTCAACAACAGCAGAATATACATTATTTTCATCAGCATGTGGAACATCCTCCAAGACAGATGTTATGGTAGGCCACAAAACAAGTCTCAATAAGTTTAAGAAAATCAAAATTATATGATGTACCCTCTCAGACTACAGTGGAATAAAACTGGAAATTGAATCCAAAATGAATTCTCAGAACTATACAAATACATGGAAATTAAATAATCTGCTCCCGAATGATCTTTAGGTCAACAATGAAATCAAGATGGAAATTTTAAAAATCTTTGAACTGAACCATAATAGTGACACAATTTATCAGAAACTCTAGGAAGGCCGGGCACGGTGGCTCACACCTGTAATCCTGGCACTTTGGGAGGCCGAGGTGGGTGGATTACCTGAGGTCGGGAGTTCGAGACCAGCCTGGCCAACATGATGAAACCCCATCTCTACTAAAAATACAAAAATCAGCCGGGTGTGGTGGTGTGTGCCTATAATCCCAGCTACTCGGGAGGCTGAGGCAGGAGAATTGCTTGAACCCAGGAGGTGGTGGTTGCAGTGAGCCAAGATTGTGCCACTGTACTCCAGCCTGGGCAACAAGAGCGAAACTCTCAAAAAAACAAAACAAAACAAAAACAAAAACTCTGGGAGACAGCAAAAGTGGTGCTAAGAGGAAAGTTCATAGCATTAAATGCCTACATCAAAAAGTCAATCTAGACATCAAAAAGTCAACATAGACAATCTAAGGTCACCCTTCAAGGAACCAGAGAAACAAGAACAAACCAAACCCAAACCCATCAGAATAAAATAAATAGCAAAGAAATAAATGAAATTGAAATAAATTTCAGAGCAGAAATAAATGAAATTGAAACCAAGAATACAAAAGATAAATGAAATGAAAAGCTGGTTCTTTGAACAAATAAACAAAATTGACAGACCATTAGCAAGATTAACCAAGAAAAGAAGAGAGAAGATCCAAATAAGCTCAATTAGAAATGAGACAGGAGATATTGCAACCGATACCACAGAAATACAAAAGATCATTGAAGGCTACTATGAACACCTTTATGCAGACAAACTAGAAAGTCTAGAGGAGATGGGCAAATTCTTGGAAATATACAACCCTCCTAGATTAAATCAGGAAGAAATAGAAACTCTGAACAGGCCAATAGCAAGTAGTGAGATTAAAATAATAATTTAAAAACTGCCCAAAAGAAAAAGTCCAGGACCAGATGTATTCACAGCTGAATTCTATCAGACAGTCAAAGAAGAATTGGTATCAATCTTACTGAAACTATTCAAAAAGATAGAGAAAGAGAGAATTTTCCCTAATTCATTCTATGAAGCCAGTATCACCCTAACACTAAAACTGGGAATAGGCAGAAAAAAAGGAAAACCACATACCAATATCCCTGATGAACATAGGTGCAAAAATCCTCAACAAAACACTAGCTAACTGAATCCAACAGCATGTCAAAAAGATAATACGCCATGATCAAGTGGGTTTCATACCAGGGATGCAGGGATGGTTTAACATATGCAAGTCAATAAATGTGATACATCACATAAACACAGTTAAATACAAAAATCACATCATCAACTCAAAAGACACAGAAAAAACATTTGACAAAATTTACCATCGCTTTATAATTAAAACCCTGAGCAAAATTGGCATAGAAGGGACATACATCAACTTAATGAAAGCCATCTATGACAAACCCACAGAAAGAATTATACTGAACAGGGAGAAGTTGAAAGCATTCCCCTTGAGAACTGGAAGGAGACAAGAATGCTGACTTTCACCCCTTCTCAAAAGAAGACATTTATGCAGCCAAAAAACACATGAAAAAATGGTCACCATCACTGGCCATCAGAGAAATGCAAATCAAAACCACAATGAGATACCATCTCACACCAGTTAGAATGGCGATCATTAAAAAGTCAGGAAACAACAGGTGCTGGAGAGGATGTGGAGAAATAGGAACACTTTTACACTGTTGGTGGGACTGTAAACTAGTTCAACCATTGTGGAAGTCAGTGTGGCAATTCCTCAGGGATCTAGAACTAGAAATACCATTTGACCCAGCCATCCCATTACTGGGTATATACCCAAAGGACTATAAATCATGCTGCTATAAAGACACATGCACACGTATATTTATTGCGGCACTATTCACAATAGCAAAGACTTGGAACCAATCCAAATGTCCAACAATGATAGACTGGATTAAGAAAATGTGGCACATATACACCATGGAATACTATGCAGCCATAAAAAATGATGAGTTCATGTCCTTTGTAGGGACATGGATGAAATTGGAAATCATCATTCTCAGTAAACTATCGCAAGGACAAAAAACCAAACACCGCATGTTCTCACTCATAGGTGGGAATTGGACAATGAGAACACATGGACACAGGAAGGGGAACATCACACTCTGGGGACTGTTGTGGGGTGGGGGGAGGGGGGAGGGTTAGCATTAGGAGATATACCTAATGCTAAATGACAAGTTAATGGGTACAGCACACCAGCATGGCACATGTATACATATGTAACTAACCTGCACATTGTGCACATGTACCCTAAAACTTAAAGTATAATAATAATAAAAATAAAAAAAGAAAAAGAAAAGGGAAGTTACAAATTAAAAAAAAAAAAGACAAAACATAGGATTGGAAGTCCTAGCCAGAATAATCAGACAAGAGAAAGAAATAAAGGACATACAAATAGGTAAAGAGAAAGTCAAACCATCACTGTTCACTAATGATATGATCATATACTTCAAAAACCCTAAAGACTCATCCAAAAAGCTCCTAGATCCGAAAAATGAATTCAGCAAATTTTCAGGTTACAAAATAAATGTATACAAATAAGTAGCACTACTATACACCAATGACCAAGCTGAGAATCAAATCAAGAACTCAATCCCTTTTACAATAGTTTCCCGAAAATAAATTTAAAAAATGCTTGGAATATACTTAACCAAGGAGGCTAAAAATCTCTACCAGGAATACTACAAAACACTGCTGAAAGAAATCATAGATGACACAAACAAATGGAAACACATCCCATGCTCATGGATGGGTAGAATCAATATTGTGAAAAGGACTATACTGCAAAAGGCAGTCACAAATTCAATGCAATTCCCATCAAAATACCACCATCATTCTTCACAGAACTAGAAAAAACAATTCTAAATTTCATATGGAACCAAAAAAGAGCCCACATAGCCAAAGCAAGACTAACCAAAAAGAACAGATCTGGAGGCATCACATTACCTGATTTCAAAATATAATATAAGGCCATAGTCACCAAGACAGCATGGTACTGGTATAAATGTAGGCACATAGACCAATAAAACAGAATAGAGAACCCAGAAATAAACCCAAATACTTACAGCCAACTGATCTTTGACAAAGCAAACAAAAACATAAAGTGGTAAAAAAACACCCTATTTAACAAATTGAGCTGGGATAATTGGCAAGCCACATGTAGGAGAATAAAACTGGATCCATGTCTCTCACTCTACACAAAAATCAACTCAAGGTAGATCAGGGACATAAATCTAAGACCTGAAACTATAAGAATTTTAGAAGATAACATCGGAAAAACCCTTCTAGACATTGGCTTAGGCAAGGATTTAATGACCAAGAACCCAAAAGTAAATGCAATAAGAACAAAGATAAATAGCTGAGACCTTAATTAAACTAAAGAGCTTTTGCACGGCAAAAGGAACAGTCAGCAGAGTAAACAGATAACCCACAGAGTGGGAGAAAATCTTCACAATCTATACATATGACAAAGGACTAATATCCAGAATCTACAATGAACCCAAACAAATTAGTAAGTAAAAAACAAACAATCCCATAAAATATGAGTTAAGGGCATGAATAGACAATTCTCAAAAAAAGACATACAAATGGCCAACAAACATAAGAAAAATTGCTCAGCATCACTAATAATCAGGAAAATGCAAATCAAAACCACAATGCAATACCATTTCACTCCTGAAAGAATGGCCTTAATCAAAAAATCAAAAAATAATAGATGTTGGCAAGGATGTGGTGAACAGAGAACAATTTTCCACTGCTGGTGGGAATGTAAACTGGTACAACCACTATGGAAAACAGTGTGGAGTTTCCTTAAAGAGTCCTAAAAGTAGAACTACCATTTGATCCAGCAATCCCACTACTGGGTATCTACCCAGAGGAAAAGAAGTCATTATACAAAAAAGATACTTGCATACACATATTTATAGCAGCACGATTCACAATTGCAAAAATGTGGAAGTAACCCAATGAGTGGATAAAGAAACTTTGATATATATATATATATATATATATATATATATATGATGGAATATATATATATATATATATATATGATGGAATATATATATATATATATATGATGGAATATATATATATATATATATGATGGAATATATATATATATATGATGGAATATATATATATGATGGAATATATATATATATATGATGGAATATATATATATATATGATGGAATATATATATATGATGGAATACTACTCAGCCATAAAAAGGAATGATTTAATGGCATTTGCAGTGACCTGTTTGAGATTGGAGACTATTATTCTAAGTGCAGTAACTCAGGAAGGGAAAACCAGGCATCGTATGTTCTCACTCATAAGTGGGAACTAAGCTATGAGGATGCAAAGGCATAAGCATGGCACAATGGACTTTGGGGACTCTGCAGGAAAGGGTGGGAAGGGGGTGACGGATAAAAGATTACAAATTGGTTGCAGTGTATACTGCTTGGGTGATGGGTGCACCAAAGTCTCAAAAATCTTCACTAAAGAACTCACTCATGTAACCAAACACCACCTGTTTCCCAATAACCTATAGAAATAAATTTTTTTTAAAAAAGAATAGAACAGAATAGAAAACCCAGAAATAAATCCACATATTTATAGCTGACTTACATTCAATGAAGCTATGAAGAATATTCATTGGGGATATGACATCCTTTTCTATAAATGGTGCTGGGAACACTGGATAACCATATGCAGAAGAATGAAACTGGACCCCTACTTCTCACCATATACAAAAATCAACTCAAGATAGATTAAAGACTTAAATGTAATACCTGAAACTATAAATCTGCTAGAAGAAAACATAGAAAAAGTTCTTCAGGAAATAGGTCTAGGCAAAGATTTTATGACTAAGATCTCAAAAGCACCAGTAACAAAACCAAAAATGGACAAATGGAACTATATTAAACTAAAAAGCTTCTGCACAGCAAAAGAAACAATCTACAGGGTGAAGAGAAAACCTCTTAAATGGGAGAAAATATATGCAAGCTACTCATCCAACAGGGGATGAATATCCAGAATATACAAGGAAATCAAACATCTTCATAGTAAAAAAATAAATAATCCTGGCCAGGTGTGGTGGCTAATGCCTGTAATGTCAGCACTTTGGGGGCCTACAGCAGGAGGATCTCTTGAGTCCAGGAGTTCAAGATCAGCCCAGGAAGCATAGCTAGACCTCAGTCTCTTACTAAAATTAAAAAGAACCAAATAGCCTGGTATGGTGACATGAGCCTGTAGTCCCAGCTGAAGGACTGAGGCAAAAGGATAGCTTGAACCCAGGAATTTGATGCTGCAGTGAACTATGGGACCACTGCACACTAACCTGGGCAAGATCTAGTCTCAAAAATAAATAATTAAATTAATTAATTAATAACCCCATTTTTAAAATGAGCAAAGAACATGAACAGACATTTCCCAAAAGAAGACAGGCATTTGTTCTCTTCATTGAGAAAAGAAAAATGAGAGAGAGCAAGAGAAAGAAAAGAAGACATATAAATGGTCAACAGGTACATGAAAGAATGCTCAACATTACTAATCATCAGGGAAATGCAAATCAAAACCACAATGAAGTCAGGCCACAGTGGCTCATGACTGTAATGCCGACACTTTCAGAGGCCAAGGTGGGAGGATCGCTTGAGCCAGGAGTTTGAGACCAGCCTAAGCAAAGTAGTGAGATCCCATCACTACAAAAGCAAAACAAACAACCACAATGAGATATCATTTTACCCCAGTTGGGATGGCTACTATGAAAAAGACAAAACAAACAAACAAACAAAACAAAAAAACCACAGGTGTTGGCAAGGATATGGAGAAAAGGGAACTCTTATTCACCATTGCTTGGAATGTAAGTAAGTACAGCCACTATGGAAAATAATATGGAGATTTCTCAAAAAACTAAAAATAGAACTACTACACAATCAAGCAATCTCACTAATTAGTATTTATCCAAATGGAAAAGAAAGTAATGTATCAAAGGGATACACACATTCTTTATTGCAGCACTATTCACAAGAGCCAAGATATGGAATCAACCTAAGGGTCCATGAATGGATGAATGGATAAAGAAAATGTACTATATATAGACAATGAAAGTATTCAGCCATTTAAAAAGATGAAATCATGTCATTTGCAGTAACATGGATGGAAGTGGACGTCATAATGTTAAGTGAAATAAGCCAGGCACAAAAAAACAAATATCACATGTTCTCACTCGTATGTGGGAGTTTAAAAAGTTGATCACATCAGGGTAGAGAGTAGAATGATAGATACCAGAGACTAGGAAGTGGACGGAGATACAGAGATGTTGGTTAATGGTTATGAACCTATACTAATATAAAGAATAAATTCCAGTGTTTGATAGCAGAGTAGGGTGACTATAGTTAACAACAATGTATAGTATTTTTCAAAAAAACTAGAGGAGAGGACTTGAAATGTACTCAATGCATAAAAATGATAAATTGTGGGTGATAGATACCCTAAACACCCTGACTTCATCATTACATTGCATGCATGTAACAAAATGTCACATATAACCCATGAATATGTTCAAATATAATGTATCAAAAAATTTTAGAACTAAAAACAAAAACCAAAGCCCCCAACCCAAACATGTAGTTTAGTTTTTATTTTACAGAAACAAAGCATAATGACATTTTCACTTATACATTCCAAATCTTCAGAACTTACATTATTACGTAAATGAATACATCAAAATATTAAGATACATATTTTTCATTTCTAAATTACAACCAGTTGGTAAATAGGCAAAAAAAAGATGAATAAATAGAGTGACAAGAAAAAGAAGATAGGAGAGAGCCAAATCCAGAGAAAAAGGAAAGAAAATAGGAGCAAGTATAGGAATGAAATTGTCCTTATACAGAGGCTGACTTACCTTTAATCTAAAAAGACTTAATATTCGGGACCCCTTCTTGCAGGAGCCTTTTAACATCATATATTTTTGTACAATCTGCAAAAAGTAAGATAATTTAACAGCAAATTGTTAAGACTGTTGTATTTCTTCATTCTGACTTCTCATCCATCATACATTTTGCCCCTTGTTAGGCGGCAATAGAGTGACCATAGATATTTCAGAGATTCAAATAAGGGAAAGTTAAGTTGGGGATACACAAGGTAGAAAATGTATTTATGGCTTTACATTCACTCCATGCATAGTTAAATTATTACACGGGCTTAATCAGGGACATAGATAGGTTTAAACTAAGGATGACTGATTCTTATACTAATGATCTTAGAACTCTCAATATTGTGTTTTATGTGCTTACTAATCACTATAGGCCTTGATTCTTCAATGTAAAGCCATAATAAGATATTGTTACTTGCCAACATTTGATATTGTTTACCTCCTCTCTACCCAGCGAGAGGCAGAGAAGTAGTAAATAAAAGGCATCAACTCATTATTCTAGTCATTTACTCTCTGTCACGCTATTGTACACTACACTTTGGCCATACTGGACGCCTTACTTTTACCAGACCATGTACTTGATGTACTTGGCTATTCTCTCTCCCCAGCCTCAAATGAATCTGCCCAAGCACATCTATACAGGTTATTATTAATTTCTTGCTGGTATTACTTGAAATACTGACATTGATGAAGATAATCCCTCATTTCTAATTTACTATGACAACAATGACATCAATGATAAACTGGTTAATGAGTGTCATTAATTCTAGGAGTATCTAAGATTAATGATTACCGTATAGTAACTGAAGAGGAATAAAATTATTTTTCTTCTAGTCCCAGACATAATGTATGTTTGATCCATTGTATTCTCCCAACAAGGAGTGACTATGGTTTGCTGGTCAAAGTGGTAGATTATGGTAGTCATAACACATCATTCGGTTATCTCCCAGATCCATACTATATTAATGCAATATATACACTTGGCTACTGGAAGATGTCCAATATCAACTTCCACTTCTGAAATAAGAGATTATGAAGGAAGAGACTAGTAGAAAGACCTGAGTTTCCAATTCTATCCCCAGTTGTCAATAAAAAACAATACCATAGATTGCCTTCCTCTTTTTGGCTATGATGGAATAGCTTGTACAGTATTAATGTTCCTTCCAATAATAATGAGTAAAGCCAGATAAAATACAAAAAATAGGCCAGGCACAGTGGCTCATACCTGCAATCCCAGCACTTCAGGAGGCCAAGGCAGGAGGATCACTTGAGCCTAGGAGTCTTAAGACCAGCTTGGGCAACATAGCAAGACCCAGACTCCATAAAAATAAAAAATCAACTGGGCATGGTGGCCCATGCCTATAGTCCTAGCTACTTGGGAATCTGAGGCAGGAGGATTGCTTGAATACTGGAGCTCAGGAAGCTGAGTCTGCAGTGAGCTATGATCACACCACCGCACTCCAGCCTGGGTGACAGAGCAAGACCCCCTCTCAAAGGAAAAAAAACTACAAAAAATATATGCTTGAGGGAATCATAAAACTCTCAAGGTGATGACAGCTTGAGAAGACAAGATCATGAAAAGAAAATAACAAGAGAGGAGCCAACATTCTCCAGTTGCTTTACTCCTAAAGATTATCTTATTTTTAGGGCAGAGCAACAGACTGATAATTCTAGCAAACAACTTATGGCCATGGAGAGACAAAGAATGGTATCTGGGGCTGCCAAATTTAAGGGATCAGGATGTCAGTGAAACAGTAGACAATGACAGCCAGAAAAAGCTTAAACTCTGCTTCAAGTCAGATCCATTCCAGATTAAAATAAGGATCATTTTCTACTCTATATGCCTAACAGAGGATAAGGCTAATTCCTTCTGGAGGAAAAGTGCATCACTGAGAAAAATAATGAATAACTTAATTATTGGATTAGAGATAAACTTTATAATAGCTATAATGAATATGTAAAAAGATAATAGAAATCATAATGAAAAATTTTATTAAAGAAATAGAATGTATAGAAAAGAATTAATAGAAATTCTAGAACTAAAAAATGATGATATAAATTTTTAAAAACTCCTATAGATGGGTCAATATTGGCAAAAATAACAAAGTAAGAACCTCCAAAAACTCTCCTCTCCATAAAAGCAACAAGAAAAGTGACAAAAATTGAAAAAAAAATCAACTCTTTCAGAACTCTGGAAATTAACCAAAGTCTTGCAGCAATCCAGAGAACATTTACTAAAGAAAAATGGTGCAATCTCAATAAGAACAGTTTTGTGACATTTTAACTTGTACAATTCCCATTCTGTCCTCTCGGGTTCTGCAGTAGACTTGAGAACCAACAAGCTGTAATCATGGTGAAAATCAGCGGCCTGGAGGGAGCAGAACAGAGCTGGGGCTTTTCCAAAACCTTGTGATCAGAGAATTGTCATTATTTTACCTGTCTGGTGGTTTCCTGGAATACCCAATTTGCAAAGTAGTTCTCATTTGACCTGATTGGGAACTTGCCCGGTGCAAAAATCCTTTTCCATGAAAATATTTATTGGAAACAATTAAAGGCAACCGAGTTGCCTGAGGCAGTGGATAACAGTTGAGGAAAACAAGAGATTAAATAAAAAGCTTAAAGGGAAAATCTGGGAAATGAGATGTCCAAGGGGCTTTGATTATTTCCATCATATTCCTGGAAATCTAGAAGGCCATGTACATATGTAGGATGGGGTGCATACTTAGGAAAGACCTGAGAAGATTGTAAGCTTTCTTCTTGGACTGGCCTTGGTGCTCTGTACAAGGAGGAAATAAAGGGTAAAGTGGAGTTGTCAACTGTCTGGCTGAGTGTTGAAGGTATCACCAACATGCACACAGAACCTGCTGTGGTTTGAATATGGCTTGTCCTCATCAAAACTTATTTTGAGGCTTGGTTCCCAATCTGGTGGTGTTGGGAGATGGTGCCTTTAAGAGGTGCTTAGGTCATTAAGTTGGATTGGTGTCTTTCTTGAAAGACTGGGTTAGTTATGAAGTTCCCTTGAGAGTGGGTTGTTATAAAGTGAGTTTACCTCTCTTGTTTTGTCCTGTTCACATATACCTCGTTCTCCTTTTGTTTCTCTGCCATTTTTTGACACAGCACAAGGACCTCAGCAGAAGCCACCAAATCAGCTGTCTAATATTGAACTTTCCAGCCTGCAGAACCATGAGTAAAATAAACCTCTTTTCTTTATAAATTACTTCATCTCAGGTGTTCTCTTATAGGAACACAAAACAAAGAAAAAGCTCCCCAGGAAAGACTAGGAGATATGTTTATTCCAGGCATTTTAGGAAACCTTTGTTCAAACATTAGGTGACCACTAAGCTAACTGAGAAAAAATGTAATAGCTACACATAACAAAGAATCAGACTTTGCAAGATTTGTTCAGAAAAGTCACAAAATAAAACAACAACAAACAATGAAAGCAAACCCTAGAAGGGAAAGCGAGGGAAGAATCTCATTATCTGGGTTGCCACATTATATTACACAAAATATCTAGTTTTCAACAAAAATTACAAGACATGCAAAGAAATAATAAAGCATGGCCTGTACATAGGGGGGAAATTAATAAATAAAAAATGTCTCTAAGGAAGCCCAGCATTTAGACTTACTAGACAAAGACATTAAATAAGCATTTAAAATATATTCAAAGAACGGAAGGAAATCATGTTTACTAAAGGCAAGCATATGAATGATGTCTCACCACCCAGTAGAGACTACAGCAACAGGAATTATATAAGAAAAGAACCAAATAGAAATTCTGGAGTTGAAAAATACAATAACAGAAATGAAAATTTCACCAGACTGGCTTGACAGCAGATTTGAGCAAGGCAGAAGAAATAATCAACAAAGTTAAATGTAGGTTAATTTTGATTATCCAGTTTGAGGAAGAAGAAGAAAAATGGGAAAAGAAAAATGAACAGATCCTCAGAGACCTGTAGAACACCATCAAGCAGACCAAAATATGTATAACTGTAGTCCTAAAATGAAAAAAAGGGTGCCAGAAAAAATATTTGAAGAAATAATGGCTGAAAACTTTGCAAATTTGATAAAAAATGTTAATCTACATATCTGAGAATCTTAATGAACTATAAGTAGAATAAACTCAAAGAGATCCACACCTACACACATTGTAATCAATCTGTTGAAAGTTGAAGACAAAGATATCTTGAAACCATTAAGAGAGAAATGACTTATCACATTCAAGCAAGAAGATTGACAGATGATCTTTCATTAGAAGCCATGGAGGGTCAGGTGCGGTGACTCATGCCTTTAATCCTAGCACTTTGGGAGGCTGAGGTGGGAGGATTGCTTGAGTGTAGGAGTTCAACACTCCATCCCTATTTAAAAGAAAAAAGTAAAAACATAAAAAAGAGAGACAGAGGAAGATAAAAAGAGAGAGAGAGAGAAAGAAAGAAAGGAAGAGAAAGAAAGAGAACCATGGAGGCTAGAATGCAATTGAAAGACTTATTCAAAGTGCTGAGGGGAAAAGCTGTCAGCCAAAAACTCTAAATGAAGGAGAAATTAAGACATTTTCAGGTAAAAAGAAACAGAGATTTCATCATTAGCAAGACAGCTGTACTAAAATACTTTCAGGCTGAAGTGAAAAGACACTAGAATATAGTGTAATATAGTCAAATCCATGTAAGGAAATAAAGACACCAATAAGGTAACTGAAATAGGTGAATATAAAAGACAATATAAATGTACTTTTTAATGACTTTTTCTCCTATTTAATTTAAAACTTCAGCAAACAATATTTATAAATCTGTGTTGATAGGCACACATGTAAGAATGGTATAATTTGTATGACAATAACAGCACGGGGATAGGGAACAGAGCTGTATAGAAATAAAGTGTTTGTATACTATTGAAATTAAGTCGGTATTAATACAAACTAGATTATTAATATGCTAATTTTAATCTGTAGGGTAGTCACTAAGACAAAAAAGTAGAGGAACTAAAAATGTAGAGTAAAAGAAATGATAAGTGAATTAAAATGATACATAGAAAATGTCTATTTAACACAACAAAAGGCAGTAATAGAGGAATAGAGGAACAAAAAAGATATAAGAAAAATAGAAAATAAACAATGAAATGGCAGACATAAAAATATGTTACAGTAATCACACTAAATATAAATACATTACATTTCAATTTAGACAGGTTAGCAGAATGGATAAAATAAAAATGATGCAACTATATATTCTCTGCTGGAGACAAACCTTAGATACAAAGTTACAAAGAGGTTGAAAGTACAAGGCAGGAAAAGATACACCATGCAAAGAGCAACCAAAAGAAAGCTGGAGTGGCTACACTAATGCCAGACAAAATAGACCTTAATACAAACATACCACTAGAGAAAAGTAAGGACATTTTAATGATAAAAGAGAAAGTTATAGCTGTAAATACCTACATTAAAAAAGAAGAAAAATTGCAAATCAGTAACAACCTTCCACTTTAAGAAATTAGAAAAGAGGCCGGGTGCGGTGGCTCACTCTGTAATCCCAGCACTCTGGGAGGCCAAGGAGGGTGGATTGCTTGAAGTCAGGAGTTTGAGATCAGCCTGGCCAACATGATGTAACCCCATCTCTACTAAACATACAAAAATTAGCCTGGCGTGGTGGCAGGCACCTATAACCCCAGCCACTCGGGAGGCTGAGACAGGAGAATCGTTTGAACCCGGGATGGGGAGGTTGCAGTGAGTGGAGATCAGGCCCCTGCACTCTAGCCTGGGTGACAGAGCAAGACTCCATCTCAAAAAAATAACCCTGTCTCAAACAAACAAATAAACAAACAAAAAAAGAAAAGAAAAGAAAAGAAATTAGAAATGAGTAAGACAAACCAGAACTAGTGAAAGGAATGTTAGAATGGGAATAAATGAACTAGGAAATAGAAAAAGATAGAGAAAATCAACAAAACTAAGTTTTTGCTTTTAAAGAATCAAAACTGAGGAAACTTTAGCTAGATTGAGTAAGAAAAAAAAGAAAGGAATTGAATTACTCAAATCAGGAATAAAAGATGAGACCTTTCTACCACTTTACAGAAATGAAAAACAATATAAGGGAATACTGTGTACAATTGCGTGCCAACAATTAGATAATCTAGATAAAATGGACACATTTTGTGCTGGGCAGGGTGGCACACATCTGTAGTACCAGCTACTAGGGAAGTTGAGGCAGGAGGATTGCCTGAACCCAGGAGTATGGGGTTATCGTGCACTGTAGCCTGGGCAACATAGCAACCTGTCAAAAAAAAAAAAGACAAATTTCTCGAAAAACATAACTACTAAAACAATGAAAAAGAATACAATATTTCAAAGTATTTTATCTTTTATAATGTTCTTTGACAAAAATAGAACAGAGCTAGAGATCAATTACAGAAAGATAACCAAAAAATTTTGAAGAGTTTAGAAATTAAGAAATACAAATTAAAATAATCCATAGATCAAAGAAGATAATCAGAGATTAAATCTAATTATTATCAGATCCCTGACAATAAAAAATTGAAAATATCAGTTGGGTGTGGTGGCTCATGCCTGTAATCCCAGTACTTTGGGAGGCTAAGGCAAGAGGATTGCTTGAGCCTAGGAAGTTCAAAACCAGCCTGGACCACATGATAAGATCCCATCTCTACGAAAAATAAAATATAAGTTAGCTGGTGTGGTGCTGCATGCCTGAGGTCCTAGCTTCTTAGGAGGCTGAGGTGGGAGGATCACTTGAGCCCAGGAGTCCAAGGCTGCAGTGAGATATGACAGCACCACTGCACTCCAGCCAGGGCAACAGAGTGAGACCCTGTCTTGAAAGAAAAAAAAAGGAAAGGAAAGAAAAAGAAAAGAAGGAAGGAAGAAAGAAAACTGAAAATATTGCAAATTATACTTGCATTACAAAATATTATAACATAAGATGAAGCTGAAGTCAGGTCTAGACAAAAATTATATGCAACCTTAAGTGCATATAATTAATTGGAAAGAAAGAAATACTGAAAATCAATCATATACTTAGAAAAAGAATGTCAAATTTAACCCAAGAAAAGTAAAAGTAAGGGAATTATATACATAAAAGAAGAAAATAATTTGATAGGAAATAATAATACAGTAGAAAAACATCAACAACACTAAAGGCTTGTTTCTTTGAAAAGACTAATAGGATTGATAAAATTTTAGCAAGACTGTGGAAGATTTTAAAACAAGACAGAAGGCATGAAATTCCAATATCAGGAATGAAAAAGGTACTGTCATTATGGGTCCTGTAGACATTAAAATTACAATAGAAAATATTATAAATAACTTTATGCTGACAAATTTGAAAAGCTAGATGAAATAGACATATTCTAGAAAACACCACTTACTAAAATGAACTCAAGAAATAATAGAAAAATTTTCATAATCCTGTATCTATTAAAGAAATTGAGTTGGTAATTACAAAACTTTCCACAAAGCAATCTGTAGGCAAAGATGATCTTATTGGGTGAATTCTTCTAAATATTCAGTGAAGGCATTTGCTAACCTTACACAAGCGATTCCAAAAGACGGGGGAATAAAGGAACATTTCTCAACTCATGCAGCAATATGCCAAATCCTCATAAGCATGAAGCAAAAACAAAAACAAAAAAGCAAAAGTAAGGCTCATCTCATTTTTAAACACAGATACAAAACTCCTAAAAGATCTATTAGTCAATTAAATATAACACTAGGTAAAATAATGACCAAGTTGAGTTTATTCTATGAACATAGGGTAAGTTTAATATATGAAAATCAAGCAATGAAAATAGTAACTTATGGTTGAAAAATCTGTCAGTTACAACTAAAATCAAGTAGTCAAAATTAGCATCACAGGGTAAGTTTAATATACGAAAATCAAGCAATGAAAATAGTAACTTTATGGTTGAAAAAATCTGTCAGTTACCACTAAAATCAAGTAGTCAAAATTAGCATCACTGATAACAGAACAAATCAACATCATGTGTCTCCTGATTCAATGCACGGAGATACAATATCAACTATGAAGAACTCCTGCCTTTGTCATATCCTCTATGAGCTGTTTAGTTCCTTTCCAATAAATGCCTTTTCTGCTTAATTATTCAAGTTTGCATTCTATTGTTTAAAATCAAGAACCTGCATTAGTACAGTAGTAATAGTTATTGAGCACTAATGCTCACAGCAGTGTTTCAACATAGATATTATTTATCCTTATTCTAAGATGAGACAATAGGTAGTTATAGTTAAGAATATGACCCCAAATCACATACACAATAATAGGTGAAGGAAAGAATAAATTTCAAGTTTACCTGTCTCCAAATTTCATTCTTTTAGACTCTCTAACCCTTCTCCCTTGACCATGCTTGGCATTTTTGACTAAGTGATTTTAGCCAGGAACCTGGTTTACCCAAATACACAGAATCATCAATCTGTCTCCCTCCATACCCTTCCTTGGGATTTAAGGATGTCAGAAGTTAAGGAGAGAAGATAAACATGTGCTTTTACTGTGATGCTCTCTGGGGAAAAGTTATGTGGGGTCCAGATAAAAATCATTGCCTCTCAGAGAACAAAGACATGCTATTCCCAGGGGGCTGCTCATGAGATCTTTTTATAAGGCTCCAAACAGTAAGACTAGATGTAGGGCTAGCTCCCGAGTGATGGAAAAGAATCGGGACAACTCCCTCCTGGGGGTATCTCTCTCTCTCTGTCTCTCTCTCGACTCCAAACAGCATCACAAGAGAACCTCAAGTTTTGTATTATTTATTCCAGGAACCCCAAAGGGAAGGTGAAAGAAACTTGGGGAGAAAAAAAATCTCCCTTGAATGCATGAAAAAACAGGTGTTGGGGTGATGTTGATGTTGAGATAGCCAAGTGCAGGCACCTGACTGCCACCTGGGGATGGGAGCAGGAGGGAGTGCTGGAGACCGTGGATTCAGAGGTTACTAGTGTAGACGTGCAGGGAGCCACAGGCCTGGATGAGTTCTCCAGAGCAGCAGGTGTAGAGTGATAAGAAGAGGGCTGACGACTAACATCAGGTGTGTAGTTTTAGGAGTGAAGAAGAAGAGTATTCAACAGAGGGGACAGGTTTTCATTCCTGCTTTGGCACCTGGAGCAATAGGAAGTGTTTGATTGCCTGTGCTACTTGAACATTCTCCTTCCCCGACAGCTTCCACGGCCTCTTTGTAGACTGTCTCCTTGCTCACCTTCACCTCAGATTGTCCCCTGGATTTGAGGCCCCAGCCATCATGACATGTTCAGGCTTCTGAACAGGGCTGTGAGGAGGGGGATGGAGGGAAAATATCAGGGGAAAGGATTTATCTGAATGCATGTAGAGACTTCAAAGAAGCTCTTTTCCTGGGAAATTCTGGTAACATTTCTCTCTATCCAATAAAAAGTGGGTGAAAGGCAGTGTCACTAGTTTCTGGCAGACTAAGCCCCTGAGAAGGTCCTGCTGCACGGATGTGTGTAACTGAAGCTGTGTGGAGGGAGCTTGTGATCTATACAGAAGTAGCAAGGGCAAGAGGAACAAGAGAGGTTCAAAGGCACCAAGTGCAGAGGCAGTGGGTGGGGAGACCCAGGCATGGAAGCCAGTGTTTCACTGTGAATACTTGGAAAGTCCCTGGCTGGCTCCAAACAGTAGAATATGGCTGGATTCTAGAGTCTGTTGTCAGAATAATGAGAATTAATACGGAAGCTCATTTTCAGACTTATCATTAGTTATGAGATGATGGAGGGTTAAGGAAACCACAGTAAGAGGAAGAGATTCTAAGGCTAGCTTCTTAGGACCCCACCCCATCCCTAAATTTTCAGATGGGAGAGAGAGGAGTGTTATGCATCTCTGTATCATTCTTTTTTGGAGCTGAGAGAGACAGAAAGGAGAGGGGAGGGGAGGGAAGGGGAGGAAGAGATGAAGAGGGAGAGGGGAGGGGAGGGAAGGGGAGGAAGAGATGAAGAGGGAGAGATGGAGAGGGAGAGATGGAGAAGGAGAGAGGGGGAGGGAGGGAGGGGAGGGAGAGGGGGAGAGAGAGAAGAGAAAGGGAGAGAGAGTGGGGAGAGAGGGAGAATAAGTATAAATCATCAATTAATCTGTGGATGTCTGATTGTCCACCTTCTGGATTATTTCAGACACTGAAATTTGTGAATAATGATAAGCAGGGCCTGGATCAGGAGAGCACTTCAAAAGATAAGGACTTGTACATAGGATGTTAAAGCCTGCTAAACAGGTCCTCACAGGCCCACCTTTTACTGCTTCCTCTTGAAATAAGCCTCTTCTGCCCTTCCCACCCTGTCATTACCACTGTCCCCAATACCACAAAGTGGAGGATTGTGGAAATCCCTTAAGAAAAAGAAAAGAAGCTCATTGTCTACATCAGAAATTCTCTGTAACTCCCATCCTCCCACTTCCTCATGCTGCCTGACTGCCTTCCTTATCACTCTACATCAGTTGGATTGTATCAACGTTTGGCCTTTCTTAAACCTCCTACTCTGGTGTCCAAAGGACAGATTTCTGTCCCAGAGCAGATATGAATGTTACAAGGGGAGTGTTTGATAGACAAAGGACCCCATGTTACTTCTGCAGTTGAAACTAGCCTCTGTATAAGGAATTAAAAGACTATGAGAAGAAAGTAATGATGGAGACATTATTCTCCCTATTGTCATGGATCAATGGCATCATCTGGGGATTAGGCCAATGGCTGCTTTGAAGGAATATTTTATAAAGTAGACATTATCAGTGATGAATTTGAGTGTGAGTTGAAATGGAAGTATAGTAAAGTGGTAAGACTCCTTGATGAATCAATGTTTGGTGTAAGGAAAGAGGAAGAGAGAGACAAGATAATATGAAAATCTGATGGCTGATAGAGGTGGAGAGCCAACATCACAGCTCAGGGATGAGTATGATGTATCACTGAATTCTCCCTGTTGGCCTGTGACAGCATTTGTGGTTGGAGAAATGAGAAGTGAAAGAAAAACTCACGCCTAGAGGTACCACATTTGTCAAAAATAATAGAAGAGAAAACCATGCCAGACAGTCTTAGAGAAGATAAAAAGTTATCACATGATTTCAGGGCATTAGGAAGTCCCTGCTTTTTCAGCCACTCCCATCTTATAGTTGTGTCTTAAATTTATCCATTAGAGCTGGGCGTGGTGGCTCACGCCTGTAATCCCAGCACTTTGGGAGGCCAAGGCAGGCGGATCACGAGGTCAGGAGATCGAGACCACGGTGAAACCCCGTCTCTACTAAAAATACAAAAAATTAGCCGGGCGCGGTGGCGGGCGCCTATAGTCCCAGCTACTCGAGAGGCTGAGGCAGGAAAATGGCGTGAACCCAGGAGGCGGAGCTTGCAGTGTGCCGAGATCGGGCCACTGCACTCCAGCCTGGGCGACAGAGCGAGACTCTGTCTCAAAAAAAAAAAAAAAAAAAAAAAAAAAAATATATATATATATATATATATATATAATCCATTAGAAAGTTGCTCTGGGCGAATGGAATTTGTTCATTGTTATAACTTCTTAAAACACAATATCCCTTGTCTAGATTCAAGACATATATATTTGAGTCCCATGCAAATACGGGACACTATGGGTACAGTAAATGAACGACCATATGGAAGAGTTACAGGAGCTAAGATGAAACATGAATCATTAAAAACTGAGGATAACTGAAGGACGTAAGTCCTACAGGGGGGTCTTTACTCTGAATCCTGCCACTAAGTGCTCAATAAAATCGAGTTAAGTAAGTGAGTAAATGAATGAATGATAAATGAATGAATAAGTATGGATTTTGTTTTCAAAGATAGAAAGGATTCACAAAAGCAGAGATTATGAGGTATGAAAAAGGTTTTTTTCTAAGAATAGACCCTCAAACACTCTTAGATTCTTGCTGTTTTCTGAGTACCCCAATGTCAACTGTCTATTCCAGAAGTAAACCCTCAAGTATATGGTCAAATGATCTTCCACCAGGGTGCCAAGAGTATACAATGGGGAAAGGTCAATCTCTTCGACAAATTGCGTTGGGAAAACTGGATATCCACATGGAAAATAATGAAGTTGGATTCTTACCTGACACCATATGCAAATACAAAAATTAACTCAAAATGGATAAAAGACCTAAATGTAAGAGCTAAAAGTATCAAACTCCTAGAAGTTCTATCAAACATAGAAGAAAACTTTATGACATTAAATTTTGCAACAATTTATTGGATATGACCAAAAACAGGCAACAAAAAATACACAAATCCAACTTCATCAAACTTAAACATTTCTGCACATCAATGAAAACAATCAACAGAGTGAAAAACAATATGAAATAAGATATTTGCAAATTATCTTTTCAGTAAGAAGTTAATATCCAGAATATATAAGGAGCTTCTACAACTCAACAGCAGCAACAATGACAAATAGCCTATAAACATCCTCAGCAAAATACTAGCAAAATGAATGCAACAGCACATTAAAAGGGTCTTTTATCATGATCATGTGGGTTTTATTCCAAGGATGCAAGATGTTTCAACATACTCAAATCTAAAAATGTGACATACCACTTTAACAGAATGAAGAATACTAACCATATTAATATCTCAATAGACTCTGAAAAAGCATTTGACAAAATTCAACATCCTTTCGTGATTTAAAAAAAAACTCTCAACAAATAAGGAATGCACCTCAACACAATGAAGGTCATATATGACAAACTCATAGCTAATATCATTCTCAATGGTGAAAAGTTGAAATTTTTTTCCTCTAAGACCAGGAACAAGACAAGGAGGTCCACTCTAACCATTTCTATTCAACATAGTACTGAAGTTCTAGCCAGCAATTAGGCAAGAGTAAGAAATAAAAATCATCCAAATTGGAAAGGAAAAATGTAAATTGTCACTGTTTGTAGATGACATGATTATATAAATAGAAAACCATAATAACTCCACTTAAAAACTATGAAGTAATAAAGAAATCTAGTTGCAACAGAATACAGATTGTACTGAAAAAAAAATAAAGGAATCTTGTAAAGTTGCAGGATACAAAAATCAACATACAAAAATCAGTAGCATCACACTAACAAAGAACTATCTGAAAATGAAACCAATAAAACAATCTCATTTACAATAGCTAAAAATAAGTAAATAAGTAAAATAATACATTTAACAAAGGAGGTGAAAGACCTATACGCTTAAAACTATAAAACACTGATGAAGGAAATTGAAGAAGTCACAAACAAATGGAAAGATATCCTGTGTTTATAGATTATAAGAATCAATATTGTTAAAATGTCTGTACTACCCAAAGTGATCTGCAGATTTGATGCAATCCCTATCAAAATTTCCTTACATTTTTCACAGAAACAGAAAAAAAAATCCTTAAATTCATATGGAACCACAAAAGACCTTGAATAGCCAAAGCAATTGTGAGCAAAAAGAACAAAACTGGAGGCATCATACTATCTGATTTCAAAATATACTAATATACTACAAAGCCATAGTAATCAAAACAACATGGTACTGACATAAAAACAGATGCATTGACAAAATAGCCCAGAAACAAATCCACACATTCATGGTCAATTGATTTTCAACAAAGGTGCCAAGAACCAACAATGGGTAAAGCATAGTCTCTTCAATAAATGGTATTGGGACAACTGAATATCCACATGTAGAAGAATGAAACTAGACTGTCATCTCACACCATATGCAAAAATCAACTCAGAATAAAGGCTTACACATAAGACCTGAAACTGTAAAACTACTAGAAGAAAACATAGAAGAAAAGCTCCATGACATTAGTTTGGGCAATAATTTTTTGATATAATCCCAAAAGCACAGGCAACAAAAGCAAAAATAGACAAATGGGATTATATCAAACTAAAAACCTTGTTTTTCTTACAGCCAAAGAAACAATCAATAGAGTGAAGAGACAACATATGGAATGGGACAAAACATTTGCAAACCATATGCTTGATAAGGGGTATAGGAATCCAAACAACTCAATAGCAAGAAAACAGCCTGATTTTAAAATGAGCAAAGGATTTGAAAAGACATTTCTCAAAAGTTGACATACAAATGGCCAACAGGCATATGAAAAAAATGCTCGACATAGCTAATCAGAGAAATGAAAATTAAAACCACAGTGAGATACCATCTCACAACTGTTAGAATGACTATTGCCAAAGGCAGGTAACAAGTGCTGGCAAGGGTGTGGAGAAAAGGGAACCCTTGTACACTGTTGGTGGGAATGTAAATTATATAGTCATTATGGAAAACAGTATGGAGGCTCCTTAAAAAATTAAAAATAGAACTACCATGTGATCCAGCAATCTCATTTCTGAGCATACACCCAAAGGAAATGAAATCAGCACTTCATAGAGATACTTATGCTCCATGTTCATTGCAACATTTTTCACAATAGCTAAGATATGGAAACAACCTAAGTGTGTATCAACAGATAAATGGATAATGAAAATGTGGTATATACACACAATGGCATACTATTGAGCCTTAAAAAAGAGTAAGATCCTGTCACTCACAACAAAAATGGATGAACTTGAAGAACATTATGTTAAGTGGATATGCCACAGAAAGACAAATACCACATAATCTCATTTATATGTGAATCCAAAAAAGTTGAACTAATAAAAATAGTGAATAGAATGGTGGTTATTAGGAGCTGAAAATGCTGCTGGTTGGAAAGATGTTTGTCCCAGGTTACAAAATTTCAGCCAAATAGGAGGAATACGTTCAAGAGGCCTAGTGTACAATGTGGTGAATATAATTAATAACAATGCATTGTATTCTTGCAAATTGCTAAGAGAGTAGGTTTTAAGTGTTCTCACCATAGAAGTATATAATGCATATATTAATTAGGTCAATTTAACCATTCCACAATGCATACATATTTTAAACATCACGTTGTACATGATAGGTATATATGATTTTTCTTTGTCAATTAAAAAAGCAAATAACCTGGTTTAAAAATGGGCAAAGGACTTGAACAGATAATTCTTCAAATAATATATACAAATAGCCCACAAGTGTATGAAAATATGTGTAACACCATTAATTATTCGAGAAACATGAATCAAAACCACAATGAGATAGATATCTCACAGCCATTAAGGTGGCCACTACAAAACCAACCCAACAAAAAAAATAACAAGTGTTAGCGAGGATGTCAAGAACTGGAATCCTGGTGCACTGTTGGTAGGAATGTAAATGGTGCAGCCACCATGGAAAACAGTATGAGATTTCCTAAAAAGTTTACAAATAAAATTATCACATGATTCAGCAATTCCATGTCTAGATACATACCCAAAGGAAACAAAATCAGCATTTAATAAAGATATTTCTGCTTTCATGTACATTGCAGCATTATTTACAATAGACAATGGGTGTAAACAACCGAAAAGTTTATTGACAGATAAATGAATAAAGAAAATGTGGTGTGTATATATATATATATATGTATATGCAGTGGAATATTATTCAGCCTTAAAAAAAGAAGAAATCCTCTTACATGGTACAACATGGATGAACATTATGGTAAGTGGAATAAGCCAGTCACAAAAAGATAAATACTGTATGATTACACTTATAAGAGATATCTAAAGTCAAAATAATAGAAACAGAGTGGGGGTTTCCAGGAGCTGGGAAGAGCGGGAAATAGGGAGTTGTTCCCTGAGGATAAAGTTTCATTTTGCATATAAAAAAGTTCTAGAGTTGTCACACAACAATGTGAATATTATTTACCCAACTGAGCTATACACATAAAAGGGTTAAGAGGATAAATCAGATATGGATGAGACTCAAGGTATGATTCATTGTGAGGCAAATTGCTCACCAGCTGTGAAATCGAATATGCTATTTGCTTCCAAAATATAATGATGGGACAGGCATAGGATAGAAATTCTTATTCCAAAAGGAAGAAATGGGAGAGAAGAAAAGTGTACCAGGTCCTGAGCAAGTCAAGTTTCCAGAATAATCTTTTTGAATCAAGGTTCTGCCCTCCAGGCACACTGGGGAGGTGGCCTCTGCCTCATGGCTTTGTGCAGCCCTGCCCTCATAGTTGCTCCCTTTGGTGGCCCTACCTCTGAGGCAGCTGGGTGCCCGAGGCTCTCCCAGGCTGAAATTGTATACCAGTGGTTCAATTGGTCTAGGGCCTCAGGGGTGGCCTTACCCTACTGCTTCACTGGGCATTGCGCAGTGCAATCTCTCCATGGTGGCCCTGCACATGGTGGCTTTCTGCCTACGCACTGTGGCTTTCCAGAGCATCCTTTGAAATCTAGGTGGAGGTTACCATGCCCGCACAGCTTTTCAGAGCACAGCACTCACTAAACCAGGATCTGTTGGAGCCATACCTGGGGTAGCCTAGGAGCCCTGTGATGGAATGTGGAGAGCAGAGCCTCAAGGTGGCCCATGATAGTGAGTGCTGAAGCCCCACAAGTACCTGCAGCCCCTCCTTTGAAATCATTCTGTCCCTCATGCCCTTGTATTCCGCACCTCGGATAGGAGTGGCAGCCCTGATCTGAAATGTCTTTGGGTCATTCTTTCATTGCCTTGATGAATAGCACCCAGATTCCACTGAGATGGTTGATCCATACTAATTTCCTCATCCGATGGTTACATAGACACACCACTGGTGTTCTGTCCTGAACATGATTTCTTAGTTTTCACAATATGGATAGGCTAAGAATTTTCTTAATCTTTAAGTTCTGCTTCCTTTTGAATTAAAATTCTATCTGGTGCCATACCCTGATCTCAGCGGCAGGGGCTGACAAACTTGAATCCAGAGGGTGAACTAGAGGAGGTGGGGGGCATCTTCCCTCCTGCCCTGGTGAGGAGTTGCAGCAAGCTCCCCGCGCCTCTCCTCCCTGATCCACCGGCCACCGCAGCCCATGTGATCCAGGGAAGTTGGGGTGCCCCCTCACCCCGCACCTGGGTGGCCTGGACGCGGGGTCCCCTCAGCCCCTCGGGGTTCCAGCGCCACTTGTGTAGGTCCATCTGCAGTGGGCCACGTGTGCACATCGGGCAGGGGTCCACACCAGCATCTAGTTTTCAGTGGAAACTTATTGAGTAAGGAAGAGCTAAAGGTAAGTGAGAAAGGGTGATTAGTTAGCCAGGGCCACCATAACAAGATACCACAGGCTGGGTGGCTTAAACTTAAACTTATTTTCTCAGAGTCTGGAAGTCCAAGATCAAGTTGCCAGCAAGGTAGGTTCCATTCTGAGGCCTCTCTCGCTGGCCTGGAGATGACTGCCTTCTCACTGTGTCCTCACAGGGCCTCTGTACATTTGCTCTCCTGGTGTCTCTTCCTCTTCTTATAAGGACACCAGTCCTTATAAGGGGCCTTAGGGCCCCACCTGGATAACCTCGTTTCACCTTAATTACCTATTTAAAGGCCCTGTCTCCAAAGCATTCACATTAGTGTTAAGGTTTCAACATAGGAATTTCGAGTTGTGGGGAGGGATAAAATTCAGTCCTTAACAGAGGTATAGCTCCTGGAATAATTAAACTTGCAAACAATAGCAACGGCACTTTAGGGCAGGAGCATGACCCTAAGCCATGGTTTCTCAACCTGGCACCATTGCCATTTAGGGCTGAATAATTCTTTGTGCTGGGGGCTGTCCTACGCATTCCAAGATGTTTAGCAACATCCAACATCCCTGGGCTACACCCACCAGATATCAATAGTGCTCCCCTCTCCTAGTGTGAGAACAAAAATGTTTACAGACATTGGCAAATATCCCCTGTGAGGCAAAATCACTCCTGGTGGATATTGCTGTAAGCATAGGGTTTCTCTCTTTCATCAGGGACAAAGTGTAGAAGGACAGATTTCCTCCACAGAAGCTTCATAAGTTTAAATAGGCCATAAATATCCTTGAGCTCTCTTAGCAGTCCTTCAAGTTTCTGTCACCCTTGTGTGTGTGTGAGTAGATTATATATATATATGTACATGTTTTGAGAATTTACACATTTCACTTTTGGGACTAACAGGTTCCCATAGGTTTGTTAGCCTTGGTATGAGAGAGTCTGCTTTTCTACTTATGTTAAACTTACCATCTTCAAAGTTTAAAAGACTCTCCCTGTTGTGTATTTCAGGATTTGGTGAACAAGATTAATGTAGTCTGACTTTTTCCAAGATTATAGACTTGCACCATATATGCTGTCTACAGTGGACATCTTTTATTCCTCTCATAGTGACCACCCCATTCCCTAAATTGTTTCCGTTGTTTCTAAAGTTTTGTCATCTCCCTATGTCTTCTCCAAAACTCAGGACCAGTGGTGGAAGGCACTGTAGGAGCAGTGGGCACACTCCCAGGGGCTGAGCCTGGATGGATAGGGTCAGGAAGGAGGATGGACTTGGAAGGTCACACCAGAGGCACCAGATGATGTGACAGATGAAAAGGCACATTAAAAAGTAATACGTACGTTACAAATGCAACTCCTTTTGTGATAATTATTGTATCGAATTGGGCATTTCTGAGCTTACCCTGTTGTTCTCCAAAGCAGTTGGCTAAGGCTGTTCTTATTTTTTCTTTAACCTTCCTGCCACCCTCAGATCGAATTTATTTGCTACACTAGTGCCAGGTTAATAATCCTAGAACACAACCATGATCATCTCACTTCCTCCTCAAAAACCATCACTGTCTCTCCACTGCCTGCAAAGTCCCACATCCTGAGCCTGGCATTGCAGTTGTCTACAGTCTTTCCTCAGCCTGACCTCCCTCTGTGTCCTTACAAACACGCTGTGCTCCAGAAAGACTGGACTTTGACATGACATATAAAAAATGTTTTCACATTTTCCCCTTTACACCTTTCAAACCATTTATGGTGCTAGTATGATTCCCTCCTCAATCCCAGAGCTCTCTATTTTGAGGCAGAAAACAAGAGGCCCAGAATCAATTAGCATCAGTTTCCTGCCTTCACTTTCCTATGGCACTAAGTCAAGTCAGATTGGCAAAGCCTTTATAGCTGGTCCCAGCCTGACTCTGCCCAAACCTACTTACTAAATCCTCTGGAAATGAGGGCAGTCCCACTCCAGGTTGGCCTCATGAAGACATCTCAGTCCCATCAAACCTCCCCTTGGCTTTGAGACTAATCCACGCTGGCCGTGTATACAGTTTTTCTCTAGAATCCGTGTGTGTTTATCCCCTGAAGTTCTATCATGTCCTTGGATTATCACCACACCATTGATGCTGCTTCTGTCTCAAAGGACACTTTGGACTCTGCCTGTCCTTGCCATCGCCTGTCTGGGCAGTAGTCTGCTTAACTGTAAGCCCCAAAGTCCTCCCTTCCCTCCTTGACTAAGTTTCTCAGATTTGTACAGTTTGGTGGCAACAATGCTTCCTACTCAGTTGCTAAGACAGGAGTGACCCTTTGGTGTGGTCTCTGAGATTCTCTAGGGACCTCACAGCCTGGATGGCCTCCTGGGAGCTTGCCTGGCCTTACACTGAGCTGCAAACCATGAGAGGAAAGCTATTTAGCCCCTCCAATTAAAGAGATTGCCTCTAAGTCCCCTACAGAGTTCCTCTTTCCTCGTGTCTGAGGGTCTCCTCTGGGTCATGTGTCTTTTGCAGAAGACTAGCAGTGAATTGCCATGGGATTGACAACAGAGCCCTCTGGGCTCAGTGGCCAGCTCTGTCCTTTTCCTTGGCCTCTCTCTGATTATTTACAAACATATGACTTTCTAGCCCAGTCAGGGAGATTGTCTTTTGGAATGAGAGCTATATAAACAAAAAAGATTAAGAACTTAGTAATGGAGTTAATTTTCACCAAGAACAGAGGCAATCCATTTCCTCATGAAACTTTCCAGAGAGCAGGAGATGCAACTCTCTGAGAAAGGAAGGAAATAGTTCCAGGGAGGGGCTGCTGTTTTCTGGGCCACTTTGCATGAGACGGGAAAGTGAAAGCAGAACCGACGCAACCTCATGGAAGGCTATTTCTGCTGTAAGCACCTACTTCTCCATAGAGAACACTCTCCATGCCCTCGTGTGCCAATGGGCAGTGTGAACTAAGAGTGTTCATTTGTGTCTGGCAGAATATTTCTCAAGAAGGGTCTGGTAGCTGGGCAAGCCACATAGTTGGAGACACTGTTTGAGTGGAAGTAGACCAGTTTTTTCTAGTTGCTTGTTTTCATCAAGCAAGAACCACATATAGGTAAAAAGCAATTTTAAAAACTGATTTTTGGTTTTGAGAAAAGTCAAACGTGTAAAACATTTGTGATTGCATAATAAAGCTGCATGTCTAAGAATATAAATATTTTATAATAGATTAGCTATTACACAAAAACATTGAAATATCTTTTAATTTTTCATTTTGATCAGATGAAGAGAGCCAAAGAAGGAAAGTGAGTGTACAGAAATGGAAAAAGAAGTGGATTAATGTAGAGAAAGAAGAGATATCTAGAAGAATAAAATTGTGGCCCTGAGGAGAGAGGAGGTGGAATGGTTAGATTTTGCTCTCCATTAATAGAAGACCAGGTTGCTGTATTCAAAAGGTCTGAGAAGAAGAAAAGATGTGACAGCTACTAAGCACCTAGTAGATGCCAAGGATTGTTCTTTGCTATGTTAGGTATAATTAGATGACTAAGAATTGAAGCTATACAAATGAATGTTTGATCAAGGAGACATTGTTAGCTGGGGACAGATCCCTAGAGGCACTCTGCATTTAGAGATTCCCAGAGGAGCAGAAGCCCCAGAATGAATGATCTGAATGGTGTCAGGAAAATCAGAGGAGTGTGATGTCTTGAAATCTGAATAAGGAGAGATTTCAAGAAAGTGGAATGATCTACTGTGATGAAAGCAGCAGAAAACTCCACAAAGATAAAGATTTGGTGACCTTGGCAATCAATTTCTGTCCCACTGAGGTCATGGACAAGGAAGTCAGACTGCAGTGGGGCTGAGAATGAGTGGGAGGGGAGAAAGAGGAAACACAGAAGTGTAACATTTTCTTTAAGGAACATGGGAAGAGTAAAGAAGAAAGATGAGGGTGGAAGCTAGGGAGATGAGAAGAGCATTAGGGACAAGGAAGATTTGAGCCTAAATTCTAAACTGAAGGGAAGGATCTGGCAGCAGGGGGCTGATTAGAGTTAACAGAGAGATAGAAGGGAGGACAGCTGAGACAAGCTCCCAGTGGAGGCAGGAGTGAAGGTCTCGAGCGCATAACTGGAGGTCAGGGTTAGCCTGGAGCAGGAAGAGCCCCAGCCTCTGAGACTTCAGGAAGAAGAAGAAAGAGAAACCAGGGTCTCCAAATGGTCAGAATGTCGCTGATGAAGGGTGTGCCTGACCAATTTTCTTGATGAAGTAAGAGCCAAGGAATTCCTGCTGCTATGTAGAACTGAATGTGGAGTGAGAGGAGAGTGAGAAGGTTTGGAACTTTCACAAGGAGACTCGGGTAATTAATTAATTGATCAGTCAATCAATTAAATGGTTTGCTGCCTCTTTTCTCTTTCTATCAATTCAAGTCAATCCTGCTTTCACCGGGCTCCAAGGCAAAAACTGTGCCTGCTTGCCATTAATCGTAGATAAGGCACAACCCTATTACTTAGCAGGACATCTGCGGCTTTCACAATTTGACACCAGCCTGTTTCCTAAGCCTCGTCTCCTCCGGCTCCTCGTTTACTTGGCCATGCAGCAGTCCCCTGCCCACCATATACTTTGAGGCCTCTGTGCCTTTGCCCAGGCCATCTTCTCTCCTTGCAAGGCTCTCATCCTCTTCTCCGCATCAGTAGACTTGTATTTATCCTCCAAGGCACAGTTCAAATGTCATCTTCTCTCTAGCTTCTCCTACCTAGGGCAGAATTAAGAATTCCCTTTTGTGTATTACACAACAATTTATTTATTGTTGTTATAGCAAACATGGGAAATTGCTATTTCAAATACATAGTGTCAGAAGCTGCTTTCATATTCTGGAGATGTAATTAATCTCAAGGAGGAAATTGACTTTTGATTTAGAAAAACACGTTAATGCGCCATTTCATTATAAATGAAATACCCAAAGCTTGTATAGACAGAAGTTACATGTTTCTGTGAAGCATATGGAGATATATGTTATTATAAAAACATTAATTTACTAGAGGTCTTAATGTTTTCCTTTTGCACTTCTTTAGATGTGACCTTATGCCTATTCACCCAGGGGAAAATTTGGATTTTTATCACAGAAGACCAAAAGCAAACAATATTCCAAAACAGAATATTGACAGCTATATCAAAGTCATAGTCTTAAAAATTAGACATTGGTAAGAGAAAAGGGAGTTTCTAAATTTACAAAAGTCTAGGTCCTTAGAGCTCTCTGCTGGGGATTCATTCTAGACTGAGATCACCTCTTTTGGGAGGTGGGCACTCACTGGCCACTTCTGTGTTCCTGAGATCTTAGAAACACCAGAACCCTCTCCTCTCAACCCTCTGCTACCTCCACATGGCACTAGAGCCCACAGGATCTACCTTGGATCTACAGCTTGGATCTACCCACACACATTCTAGAGTCTCACGGGATCTTCTAGGGATATCCCTGGTCTGATAAAGAGACACTGCCTGTGGATATTTTCCTTTGCTATCCCAATTGCACTCTCTGTTTTTGTGAGGACACTTGGGAAGATGAAAAACACTCTGTCACCATTGTCATCTTCTCCCTGTATCACCAACATCTGACAAATCGAATATTACTTATAAGCTACTATGAAAACAAAAGGAAAGGCAAATTAACCAACATTTTCAGAAGTCTTCAAAAGTTGTAAAAACCATTAAATTCAATATAAAAGGACAAAACTTTAAAGTCAAGTTTTTGGCAAATTGATAAAATTGGGGAATTGATGATTTGATGTATTAATTTCTGATTAGTTGATGGGTTGATTTTAGTGAGTTGACGTGCAGTAAATTGGTGTTCAGGATGGTCATGGAGAGGCTTGAACTGGCCTGGAGCCAGAGGCCACAGCCCAGAACACACGGGCCCAGGATCAGGCTGCAGCCTCGCCAAACTGGAAGGATGTGAGTAGTAGCAGAGCCACGCTGGGGCCACCAGCAGGCAAGGTGGCTGAGCCCCACTGCCTTCGTCAGGGATAATCGATCGCAGATTAGACCAGCCACGGAAATGTTGGCAAGCGATGGGGACAGGCCAAGGAACTGGGGGCAGAGAACCATCAGAAAAGAGAAAAAATGCCACCTAGACCCAGCTTCCCACAGCCAGCACGCTCTGTAAGTTCATCCTCTGCCCCAGGATGTCATTCCCAAAAGGGGGAGGAAGAGGGGGAAGAGAAGAAACCGTGAAAGATTGTGCCTTTCCCAGAAGACATTTGAAGTTTTTCAAAAATACCTCTTTTAAACAGGAAGGGCTGTATCTATGTCTTTCGATGGCCAATTTTGGGGTTTTCCTACCATCATTTGGAATTGTTGCTCCAGAGTGTAATGAGACCAGTTATATATTTTTAAAGTTACTTTTTTTGATGTATAAATTTCAAACTATCTGCAGATATAAAGGAAGAGTGATTTTAGCTTAGAATTTCCCAGGAGACAGAGGTTGGAACTCTGGCATTTAGAGAAGTCAGGAGACGGGAGGGGAAAGTTCTAAGGGAAGTGAGCAGTTCCCAGCCAAAGGGCAGAAGTCCAGAGTTTGAAAAGTGATGGCCAGCAAGAAATCTGCTGTGCTGGGGAGCTGCCCCCAAATGACCACAACAGTCTGCCCAGGGCAGGAGGCTGGTGCAGGAGATGCCATCAACTCCATACGTAAGCACACATTTGCATCACTTCTCTGTCCAGGAATTATCAGACATTCTGGTGACAGCAGTGAGCCATTTGAATTCCTGCAATTAGACAGGCACTTGAAACTGCTTAATTACTAGGGAAAGGATTGCCCCAGAAAGTTGCAGGCCACATGAACATTTATATTGCACATTAATAGACCTTCTCCTTTTTCCACCACGTATTTAGTTCTGTGTACAGACTTCCAAGACAGCCATTCTTGTTGGCAGGAACCATAATTGTGGTCCCAAAGCCTAGCACGGCACTTAAAGCAAAATAGATTAAAACAGAGCGATGCACCAGCAAACAGTCAGATCTAAGGTCCAGAATGGAAAAATTCAATGGTAAGGTCGCCCTCTGGTGGAATATCTAGGTAGTAACAGGAAAGGACTTGAAGACTCTGGCAAGCTGGCTACTTAAATGTAAAAATCTCAGAAAAGGAGCCAGTGGCCAACTGGTAGCCAACCAAGAGCACCCAGAGCAGCGCTGTCCAGTAGAAATATAATGGGAGCCTCTTAATTCAATTTCAAATTTTCTAGTAGCTACATTTAAAAAGCAATAAGAAACAGGTGAGATTAATCTAATACATATTTTAAACCGCAAATATACAAAAAATTGCAAACTGAACATTAATTAATATAGAAATTACTGAGATTATGTATATACATTTAATTAAGTCTTCAAATCCCAGGGCATTTTATACTTAGAGTTTTTTTTGGCTTAATAGCTACAGGTGGCTTGTGGCTACTGCACAGGACAGCACAGTCCTTGAGGAAGGGGAGCATGTCCTGCTCTTCTGTGCTCCCAGAGCAGCACACAGTGCCTAAGTCACATCAGGTGTCCTATAAACATGTATTTAATGAAGAATATCCCCCAACACCTACCTGAACTTGTCATGCTCCAAAGAACATGACAGATACAACTTTACCTCAAAGTCAGCATTTTAGACAATTTAGAACAACTGGATTTGTGTCATTTTTAAAGGACACTTTAGTAAGTTTTTGTCGAATCTGTGTTTGCCTCATTATTAGACTCTAGTCCCAATAACAGTACCTCTCCCTAGAGTCAGGGTTATCCACTTTATTCACTTTTATTTGTTATCATTGACTTATTTATTTAATAACGTGCTAGCGTTTAGGGGGAAAAGGAAGATTGTGTAACAAAGATTCAATCATCCATGATCCCTTCTTACAGGCCCTTTCCATCTAGGAGGGAATGTGGACCATACATATACATTCCAAGAAAACAAATAATGAGGAAGCCCTGGTGAGACTGAAAGGTGTTCTGAACTGGGTTGCTTGCTGGCTGTGGCTATGAGAAGGTTCCTGGAACCTTCTGCTCTTGCCTCCCCGGTGTTGGCCTTGAGCAATCACTGCCTGCTCCCTGCTGCAAAAAACGATGGCAAGATCCTGATTGCCTGTCCAGCTGTTGAGGGGTGGGTGAGAAAATCCAAGCTGAAATCCTGCTGGAGTGGGAGGAGCTGGGGACTGCCCTAGTCATTGCCTCCTCTGCCACCCCAGCTATCAGTGCTCCCTACGCCTCCTAGTGCTCCCACCCTGAAGTCCTGACCTGAAGTGACACCCAAAGGGTAGTGACTATGGTTTTGCGCTGGCCTAGGACTCCAGCTGGCCCTCCTTTCTCTTTACACACATGACACCAACACAGATGGCCACTAGTGGGTCAAAATAATACCTTTAGGGAGTGCCGACACCTCAAAAGAAAAACAGCAAACAGGACCATCTATGTCCTTGAAAGAAGTGGTAGAAAATATAGACCAGCCGCTTAAAATGAGCATTAAAAGTGCACTTTAAAAGTCAGAAGCTATTATAATATGAAAAAATAGAGAATATAGGGAAAACACCTAGAAGTTCTAGGTGTAAAAAATATATATAATAGTCAAAGTAAAAGCCACATTAATGGGATAAATAGTGGGAGAGATGCAACTGAAAAACAAAACAGAAAGATGGAGGACTACACTGAGGAGCTAGTTCAGAACAAAAGAGGGAAGAATTGAGAAGTCATCAATAGAAAAGTCAGGGGAAAAGGAGGAGAGAATTATCCAAATATAGATTATATGAGTTTCACAAAGACAAAAAATAGAGGAGAAAAATAGTTAAAGAAATAAAAAGATGAATTCCCAGAATTAAAAGATAGAGAAGATCCATAATGTCTTACAGAGAGAAGGAAAAACCCACTCTAGACACACTAGCAAAATTTAAAAATATCAAAGACAATGAGAAAATTCTAGAAGATTCCAGCATGAAAGACTGACATGGGATTTTCTAACTGTGACATTGGATGCAAAAAAAAAATTTGGAATGATGTTATTTAGAATATTAAAGGGGAAAATACTTCAAATAGTATGTAATACACAGCTAAACTTTATTCAAAAGTGCTGGTATAATTTTAAAAAATTATCAAGCATACAAGACTTTAGAAGGTTTGCTATGCAAATTCCCACATCTGAAAGGTTTTGGAAGAAGAATTCTAATCAGAGAACACATTCTAGAAGGTGCCAAAAGATATGAAAAGTAATGTTGACCAAATAATTTGGTGAAGGAGAAAATATGTGAATAAATTTGAAAGCATGCTAAAGTTCTTATCCAGTCAGAGGGAAGATGGAGAAGGTATCGGTAACACTTAAAAAAAAAAAAAAAGGCAATGAAGATTAAAAAAGAAAACTTGGCCGGGTGTGATGGCTCACGCCTGTAATCCTAGCAGTTTGTGAGGCCGAGCCAGGCAGATTGCCTGAGCTCAGGAGGATAAGCCTGGGCAACACGGTGAAACCCCGTCTCTACTAAAATACAAAAAAAAAAAAAAAATAGCCAAGCATGGTGGCATGCACCTGTAGTCCCAGCCACTCGGGAAGCTGAGGCAGGAGAATCGCTTGAACCCGGGAAGCAGAGGTTGCAGTGAGCCAGCCCAGATCATGCCACTACACTCCAGCCTGGCAACAGAGCGAGACTCCGTCTCAAAAACAAACAAACAAACAAACAAAAAAACTTTAAAAAATAGAAATATTGAAATAAATAAGGTATTACAAACAAGCCCAAGTGCATCAATATTCACAATAAACACAATCAGAATGCAGCAAAGACAGTGCCATGTGCTCACCAAACCATTATATCTTCCTGCACACATAGGTAACGTACATTTTTCCATCCCCGTGCGCCTATGTGGGGTCATTGTTTACTTCTTGCCAATGGAATGTGAGCAGAGATGGCAAATAGTTTCTGGTCCAAAACCATGGAAACAATGTGCCTTTCCCAGGTTCTCTCTCCTACCTGCAAAGCTAGGAGTTCATGAAGTGCTTTTCAATAATAGAGATGCAAAGTGGAGCTTAGCCACCTTGAGGCATGTTTTGGAAAAGAGCTACAGAGTGCCCAACCTGCCTTGAACTAGACGTGGCTAAAAAATAAACCTGTGTTTTGTTAAACCACTGAGGCTTCAGTGTTTGTCTCTTGCAGAAACAAGTTTGCTCACTTTGACTACCATATGAATTGAACATAGGTTAGAAGACAGAGATCGTCAGATTGAATCAGAAGCAAAAATCTATATTTATGACATTTCAAGGGCTACATCTAAAGCATAAGTACAAAGGAAGAGTAAAAACAAAAGAGTAGAAAAAGATACAGTGAACAAATACCCAAAGACAGCTGTAGAACTTATTACTATCAGACAAGACAGAGTAGGACAGAAAGATTCTCAGGACAAATTGGGAAAAGGCTCAGTTCACCAAGACTGTAATAATTCCCAAGAGTAAACACCTTAATAACCTAAATGCAGAGAGGGCAAAAGTTGATTTAAAAATTAGAAACAAGTTGAAAAACCTACAGTCACAGTTAGAGATTTAAATATACCATTCATAGGCCAGGAATTGTGGGGCATGCCTATAGTCCCAGCTACTCTGGGAGGCTGAGGCAGGAGGATCGCTTAAGCCCAGCTGTTTGAGGCTGCAGCGAGCCATGATTACTTCACTGCCCTCCAGCCTGAGCAACAGAGCAAGGCCCTGTCTCTAAAAAATAAATAAATAAATGCACCACTCTTAGTTATGTATAGGCCAGTCCAAAGATAAAGAAAACCGTAATAAATTAGAATGACAAAATCCACATGCTTGATCCAATAAACATGTACATGTATAAAATTCTGCATCACATTTATTAGAGCCCATGTGAAATATTTACAGAAGTTCACCACACTCCAAGCCATAGAGGATTATCATGTAATTAAATTATAAGTTAATAACAAAAAACATACTTTAAAAAATCTATGTATGTTTTCAAATAAAAAAAACACCCGATACTCGACTGTTATTAACCAAAGAAGCAACATTCTTTATCATGAGTTTTTCATGGCTTTCCCGTCTTTCATCTCATGGCTCCAGCTCCCACCTCACTTGGGGGGAGGTGAAGGTGGCAAGGGTCCTAACCAGGGCAGGACCAAAGCAGTGAAGACACTGTTCATTCATGCGCAGGTGTCTCCTAGGCGCCTATTATGTGCTAGGCATTACGTAGACACTGTGGACTAGAAACGAAAAAACTAAGATTAGGGCTCCCCATAAACCGGGCCATGCAAATCAATTACTAGCTGTCATTTGATTAATTTGAAGTCAGAAGCTGTGTCTGCCCCACTTAAAATAGGCATCCCTTATTCATTGAGGAAAGAGCATTGGAGCAGGTTTTACCAGTCCACAGACTACCCGAGAACCACCTGGGGAGCATGCTGAAAACACAGGTTCCCTGGCCCTGCCTTGGAAAGGCTAATCTAACCCATTAAGTAAAGAGGAAACTCAGGAACACGTATTATAACGAACCCCCCAGGTGATTCTCATTTGGAACCAGAGACCCGCATGATTTCCTAGCTCCCTCCAAGTTGAAAATCATCGATTTCATGGTCTTTGACACATGGCCTAATTTGGTTAGATTTCTCTTTACACAGACGTTAGCTTTACGTTGTTGTTGTTTTGTTTTGTTTTGTTTTTTAAATATATATACTGGACTAAATTCTCCCAGTGCCTCTTATTAGCCGAGCCCAACCAGAAGCCAAAGGCAAGGGTGATGCCGTCCTCCAGCCTGTGTCAGCCTGGAGGAGGTGCCCGGGTCCTGGAGGGACCAACAGAGAGGACCAGCACCTCTGCCCTCCTCGGGGAGTCCACGGGAGCTCTTTACACTTTGCTTTAGACCAAACAACTCCAACAATTACACATTTTTTCTTACACAATGAAATTAAATAATAATAAAAGAAAAATAAAATAACATTTTTGAAAGTGATTTAAAGTTTTAAGAGGTTTTTATTCCATTGTGTAGCCAATGTTTTCCTTTTAAAGATTATTGGTAAAGTTTATTTTACTTTCTAACTCAAAATTTGTCCACGGAAACTTCTTGGGAAAGTAGGATTCCCTGCATCGCAGATGGACATAGAGAGAGGATTTGTTGGAGCTCAGCTGCGCGGTGCTCTGACGGCCTTTTCTCTCTCTTCAGGGGGTCCCTTCTTGGAGGACGTGGTAATAGTTGGTCCAAGCCCCTCCCATCCTCCAAAACTTCCTCTGGCCTCTCCTGGGGGCCCAGTGAATCCTTCCACCTTCTCACCCCGGCTCTTTCCCTCTTTACCCAGCAACAGATACATTCACTCAGAGAATTTCTGTGATTGGCTGAAGACAGCAGGGGTCGCCCCCATCCTCGAATCTGTTTTCTTCTTCTTTACCTCCGCCTTGTTCCTGTCCTCACCACACGGACTGAGACTGATTTGATTAAAGCACCAGAGTGCAATGGCCCTCAGAGCAGGGCTGGTCCTGGGGTTCCACACCCTGATGACCCTCCTGAGCCCGCAGGAGGCAGGGGCCACCAAGGGTGAGTGCGAGGGCGAGGAGGGTGCGGCGGGGAGCAGAGATTTACGGAGTTGGGTTACATGAGGAGGTGGCATGGAGGATGCTTGTTCCTCTCGCTCTCTGGTTTATGGGCAACTTCCTTCACCAAGAGACACCCAATCCCCCTCATCTCTGTCACATCCACTCTGGACCTAAATGAAGATGCAGCTCGGTCAGCTGCGCAGGTGCCCCAGTCAGCCTTTGCTGACGTTCAGATTTCTCCTCATTCCTTCCTCCTTCCTGAGACCCAAACCTCCACCCAACAGATGCCAGCAAGCACCCTGATTCCTCTACCACCCCTGGCCTGGAATGTGCCCGATCAAGTCCAGTTCTGTTGCAGTATTTATGCCCATGCCGGTAGTTAACTATTTACCTGTCTTTGTTCTTCGGGAGACATGAGCTGGGGTGCGGGTCTACAGATGGTTCATCTTTTTTTTCTTTTATTTCCCTGGCCCACCATTGTGCTGGGTGCATGCTAGTTCCTCAATAACTGTTGCTCAAACAACTTCATAGAGTTCTACAAGAATTAAAACTTAATCCCTAACTTCCAGAAAACTAGACAACAGTTATGGAAGAGCCACACTCAGTCATAATGCTCTGAGATGGAGGAATTGGGACATGAACCTTGACTTCTGACTCCTCGTCCAGTGCTCTTTGTAATGCCTTGAGTTGCCTCTCCCTATCCCCTTGGTCTCTGGGTCACTAACCTTAATTCTTACCCCTGCCAGCCGTGGCCTGTTTCCCCTCACACCCACCTGCACTGCATCTCTGTGCAAAGCTCCATACTCTCCTGTCCTTAATCATTCCTCCTCATCCCACCCCCACAGTCCCACCAGCTCACAACACAGGGCCTGACAACACAGCCAGGGCAGATGACCACAGCCAAGATTTAAATTCTGGAACCCCAAGCATGATTTTAGGCAGTCCCTCCTCTTCCCATCCTGATATGCCAGACTGCACTGTCTCTGTGCCGACTGCAGTGTGCTGGGATGAGCCTCTTTCTTCCTGTTCTCTCTCCCTTTCTCTCTCCCAGGGCCAGCCCAGTGTCAGAACAGGACTCTGTCCCCACACAGAACCCAGGACGGGGCCCAGGCTCAGGGACTCAACAATCACATATTGTGGATGAGACAGACACATTTTTTTCTCTCTCCTTGACCCTGAACTCGCCAAACACAGCTGACCACATGGGCTCCTACGGACCCGCCTTCTACCAGTCTTACGGCGCCTCGGGCCAGTTCACCCATGAATTTGATGAGGAACAGCTGTTCTCTGTGGACCTGAAGAAAAGCGAGGCCGTGTGGCGTCTGCCTGAGTTTGGCGACTTTGCCCGCTTTGACCCGCAGGGCGGGCTGGCCGGCATCGCCGCAATCAAAGCCCATCTGGACATCCTGGTGGAGCGCTCCAACCGCAGCAGAGCCATCAACGGTACCGGCCCTCCCTCTGCCCACCCAGTCAGGCGGGAAGGTCCAGAGAAACTTCCTCCCAGTTCCTAGGCTCCCATCACTCTGGGGCGCGCTCTCAGCGCCCGCGCCTGTCATGCCCTGTTCCTTTCTTTCCCAGGAGGCTCCAGGTCTTCCCAGACCCCTTTGGCACCCCTCTCCTTGAGGAATGACACCTCTCACCCGGACTCCCGCCCAGGGACCAGTCAAATATAGGAGCTCCTGGCGTCCCCACTCCCTCCCCAGTCTCCTCTCCCTCTGTTTCCCTCCTCTCCTGCCCCAGTGGATACCCCAGAGCATCCCCTGCCCACAGATGGCTACAAAGGGGGAACGTCCCTTAATCCCAGTCCTAGTAAGGCCCTGGGGTGAGGGATGAGCCTGTGGACTCAGGGCCTGTTCCTCCTAGTGCCTCCACGGGTGACCGTGCTCCCCAAGTCTCGGGTGGAGCTGGGCCAGCCCAACATCCTCATCTGCATCGTGGACAACATCTTCCCCCCTGTGATCAATATCACCTGGCTGCGCAACGGCCAAACTGTCACTGAGGGAGTGGCCCAGACCAGCTTCTATTCCCAGCCTGACCATTTGTTCCGCAAGTTCCACTACCTGCCCTTCGTGCCCTCAGCCGAGGACGTCTATGACTGCCAGGTGGAGCACTGGGGCCTGGATGCGCCACTCCTCAGGCATTGGGGTACGGAGCCCCCTCCCCATGCACCCTCCTGGCCCCAGGTTTCCTTTACTCTAGAATCCTTTCATATACCACCAACTCCTTCCTTTCTCTCCTAGAGCTCCAGGTGCCTATTCCACCACCAGATGCCATGGAGACCCTGGTCTGTGCCCTGGGCCTGGCCATCGGCCTGGTGGGCTTCCTCGTGGGCACCGTCCTCATCATCATGGGCACATATGTGTCCAGTGTCCCCAGGTGCAGAGGCCCCGGGAGTCTGGGGGGTGGGGGAGGAAAGTGGATGACTCTGAACAGGACGTGGGTGGAGAATCAGAGATTCTGTTGTGGGGAAAGAAGTCAGAAAAGAAATGGGCAGGGAGAAAAGAAGCAGAGGTGGGGTGAGAGAGTGAGGTTTTGGGGGAGGTGGGCACTCAGAGATAGGATCCCAGCATATTGAAATTGAGCAACCTCGATCGTATGTTTTCTGCTATTTTAGGTAATGATCCTTCTGAGAGAAATGACTTGTGGGAGACACCCTGCAGATCCTCATGGGTTTGTGACAGCCCCTGCGTGCTCAGTGCCCTTTAAGTGCATCCCGCTGTGCTGACTTTGAGTGGGATCAACATCTGTCCTACGGGTCCCCTCTTTTTTGGCCCCAGTATTCATGGCAGGGTTTGTTGGACACCTACTAGCTTCCCTTCCCATTCAACACACACACACATTCTTGCTCTACCCAAAGCTCTGGCTGGCAGCACTAAATGCTTTGGTGGTATTTGCACTGTGTCCTTTCCAGGCCTTGGCCAGTTCTTCCAGGGGTGAGGCATGTGGTGCTGGGGATTGGCAGCCATCCTGGGGCCCACACAGGTGTGTCTTGCTCCATTTGGCCCATTGTGTGTTACTTTGTGAATGAGCCATTTCACATGGACTTCATGAAATTTGCCTCCTGAGTTCAGGTTTACCCTGAAAGGGATGCAGATTATCCTGTTCCTCACGACCCCCTCAGCTAACAACAGTTCTGAAGGGTGCTGGGACAGGACAGGCTCATGGGGACTCCACTCCTGCCTGGGTTTACTCTGTATGAAGAGGCCACTGGTATCCTGCCATGATGTTATCTCCTTTTTCTACTTTTCCCTAGAGTCCCATGCATGATAAAGAGAGGCCCAAGGCTTGGATAAGGTGGCCACTTCCCTCAGTGGAGTCAGTCATGTTAGGTAGGAGGTGGTAGAGTCGGTCTGCAAGGTATCTCGTAAGAGGGGAGGTCCACCTAGACACACTCTAAATATGTGGCCTAGAAGATTTTGGTCTACTTTTCTGTGAACAGAATTTAAAACATACAAAGAGATAAATCACCATACCACATAGTTTATGTCAAGACCAAAATGAGCAATACAGATTACGGTTTTCAAACCAGAATGCACATAAGAACTGCTTGGGATCCTTTTAAAAGTACAGGCATTGGCCTGGTGCAGTGGCTCATTCCTGTAATCCCAGCACTTTGGGAGGCCAAGGGGACAGGACTGCTTGAGGCCAAGAGGTGGAAACCATCTTGGGCTACATAGAGAGACCCCATCTCTACAAAGAAAGATTTAAAAATTAACCAGCCATGGTGGCTCGCACCTGTATTCCCAGCCACTGGGGAGGCTGAGGCCGGAGGAGTGCTTGAGCCCAGGAGTTCAAGGCTGCAGTGAGCCAAGATTGCGCCACTGCACTCCAGCCTAGGTGACAGAGTGAGACCCTGTCTCTAAATAAATAAATAAATAAAATATAAAAATAACAGTCATCACCCAGACCTACTGAATTAGAATCTCGGGAGTGCAGGGGGCAGCAACAGGGAGGCTGTCTTTTCTGAGAAGGAGTCTCACTCTGTCACCAGGCTGGAGTGCCATGGCATGATCTCAGCTCACTGCAACCTCCACCTCCTGAGTTCAAGCCATTCTCCTGCCTCAGCCTCCTGAGTAGCTGGGACTACAGGTGTGCGCCACTACACTCAGCTAATTTTTGTATTTTAAGTAGAGACGGGGTTTCATCATGTTGGCCAGGATGGCCTCCATCTCTTGACCTCGTGATCCACCCACCTTCCCTCCCAAAGTACTGGAATTACAGGCATTAGCCACTGTGCCCAGCCGAGGCTGTCATTTTTAACCGGCTCTGGATGACTCTGATGCAGCCATCCTGGACCTTGGCTGTGGTCTGGTAACTGGAACCCAGTGACGTAATCAGGTGCCATCGGGGGTCATGGGAAAGGGGGATCCCCAAGGTCTGAGGTGGACTAGGAAGGCTTTCTGAAGAACCTGGGTCTGTTAGGGCATCAGCCAATCAAGGTACAAGTAAATAGAGGCAAAATGAGGGTTTGAACTGTGAGCAGTTGGTCCTGGAAAAGAAAGAAACCAAGAGATTATGGGGACTCAATGGGCTTCTTAAGAGAGAATAAGTTGAAATCAATGACCAGAAGACCCTGATGGAAGTGGAGGAGAATCATCTCAGGCAAACTTTTTGTGTGCCAGTAACAGAAACCCTCTTTGTGTGATCACATGCAAAGTATAGGATATTTGCAATATAGCCATGGGGAGGAGTGCAGGGCCCAAGGGTAGATTTTAGCCAGGCCTCCCAGGAACAGAACTCGGATCCGAAAAGCCCAGAGAAGCTAGAGCTGCCCCTCCAACACTCTCGGATCCACATGGTCTGTGTTCTCTAGACCCCCCTGCATGTTAGCGGTGTTCTCTCTCTGTGGACTGACTGTCCTTCTCAGTGAACATGTCCACCCGACAGCTCCTGAGTTTATATCATCTCAACCCTCACAACCCACAGAGGCTGTGTCTCCTAGTCACAGCTTTAAATTACTGGAAAAATAAATGACTGGCCAAACTTGGAGCAGGTGTCCATCCCAGCCCTGTGTAGTTAGAGCAGGAATCAAGATCTCAACACAAATGTGGCTGCCAAGCACTCAGCCCCGGGGCGAGGGGTCAAGTTCTTCTCAGAGAAAGAGGAATAAGTTGGTTCTCAGAAGACATCACAAGATACGTGTGTACCCAACAATCTCTGATCTCTGCTGATCTTTTGCTTAGACGTTAACTTGATGCATCATTGGAAAGGTGTTTCTCTCATCTCTGTCCTAAGGCTTGATAAAGTCATTAAAATTGTGTTCTTTTGACTAAAGAAATATGCTTTTTTTTTACTGTTGCATATACTACCCTGAAGTCACTGGAACTTCTAGGAGTAATTCCAGAGCTTTTAGATTTATGCACCTGCGTGTATACTCACATTTGTTTCTAGTCTCAAGGTACGTAGTCTTTTATTTTAAAAAACAAGTTGTCCTCCTGCATTCTTGATCTTTCACTCTCTTTTAGAACAGACATCCAGTAGTCTCCTGTCCTTTGTATCCAAACTCTCCCTTTTTGCAGGGTCATCCTACAAATCATAAGCATGTCATCTCTCCTATATAACAAGAACATCAAATCCTCTGTCTGTCCTTGACCCAGTCTCCCTTCCACCCAAGCTCCTGGTCACGCTCTCTGAGAGTGTCTACGTGGACTGCCTCCAGATCCCCTCTTCCCATCCACTCTCTTTCGGTTTTAATTTTTAACCAAATTATGTTATAGTTTAAAGAGTCAAATATTTCTACAATATTTGCTACAGAAATACCAGTTTCCAGCCCCATCTCCCACCATATCCTCACCCTTACAGAAAATAACTTTCAATTGTTCTAATATGTTTTGTTGGTATTAACCTCCCATCTCTAAATAACATGTTTGTGTTGCTACATCTAGATTTTTCAGCTTTAGGCTTTATCTCTTTACCTCCTGCTGTGGAAGAGGGGGATTTAGATTTTTTTCATCCTCAAAGAACATCATGCCCCCTTTCCCATGCCCTTTCTTTTAATGTGACTATATTGTAATTTTTACAATATAGTAAAAGTTACTGTGTTTACTATGTTTCTATCAATATGACCATGTAATGGCAAACCATAGAGCAAGCCATGCTCACTCTTCCTTTTCTAGACGACTTCGTTTTCTCTGGAGTATATAGTTGTCCTGTTTTCCTTTGTGTGGCTGTATTTGTACTTATTATTAATGAATCACAAAATTCCTCACAGTACAATCAAACACATCAGGTATTCTGTCAATTTTATCACCAGATATAACTCTCCCAGAACCTTCTGTCTGCTCCATTCTTAACTCCTTGCCCTTGATGATACAGCGGTCACTCTGAGATCACTCTTCGCCATCCTCGTCAGGATTTACCTATCCTCCGAGTTGGATCTTCTGCTTCTTGTATCCAGTCATTGCCCTTTTGTGGTCTGCCTTATTTTAATGAGGCACCTCTTCTTTCCACTTCCTGAGAAACAGTGCATATGAGGAAAACTTTTTATGCTTCGTATGTCGGAAAATATATTTATTCTACTCTCACACTTGAATAATAGCTTCCACGGTTATAAAATTCAAGATTGGAAATCATTTCCATCAGAATTTTTAAGGCATTTCTCTATAATCCCTTAGCTTCCTGCGTTATTGTTGATAATCCAAAAGATATTGTGTCATGAAACTTTGTACGTAATCGTTGTTGTTTTTTTCTCTCAGAAGCTTATAGGATATCTGCTTTTTCCCTTCCTCCTTTAAATTCTTATAGGTGCTCCATTACCTACAAGATGAAGACCCTTCTCAAACTGTCCTCAGGGTATTTCTTTTTCTTTTTTTCTTTTCTTTTTTTTTTTTTTTTGAGGTAGAGTCTCACTCTGTTACCCAAGCTGGAGTGCAGTGGTGCAATCTCAGCTCACTGCAACCTCTGTCTCCCAGGTTCAAGCAATTCTCCTGCCTCACCCTCCTGAGTAGCTGGAATTACAGGCACCCCCCCACCATGCCCGGCTAATTTTATTATTTTTAGTAGAGACCGGGTTTCACCATGTTGGCCAGGCTGGTCTCGAACTTCTGACCTCAGGTGCTCCGCCTGCCTTGGCCTCCCAAAGTGCTGGGATTACAGGCATGAGCCACCGCACCTGGCCTATTTTAACCATATAATAGCTCCTCCTGAAAATGATCAATGCTTAAGTCACAGAAAACTGTTGTCGCATGTTTACTCCTCCCTGCCTTTGCACAAACTATTCTCTGTGCTGGACCTGCCTTCCTCCACCAACCAGTCAAAATTCTACCTGTCCTTCCAGGGTCCAGATTAAATGTCACCTCTTCTGTGAAGCATTTTCAATCCCAGCCCCCAATATGCTGGCCACCCTGTCCCTGCAGTGCATACCACATTCCGCCCTGTGTCAGTTGACTGTGTATGAATTTGCCTTTGCCACTAACTGCTCCTCTAAAGCAAGAGAAGGCTGTGTCTTATAGTTCCAACACCCAGAACATAATGGGCATTGAAACACTGTAGAATTCTATTTAATTCAATTTTGTTTGCTTCAAATCCAGCCTGGTCCGACTGTCTGCAGCTGGTTTTAATAACATTGGCTACCGTTTACCCAACACATGCAATGTGCCTGGCCTTAATGCTTTTCACGTGTAGTGGATTTGAATCTTGGTCCAAAAGATTAATAAGATAGTGCACAGAGTGCAAAAAATAGTAAATGTCTTTAAATAATCGAAAATCTGATTCAAAACCTGCTCTTTAAAAAATCTTAAATCTGATTCAAAACCCCTGCCATGAGGCTGGTTTTAAGTTCAATCTGTCTTTATTGGGGCTTCTGGTCTCTTACAGTTGTTCCAAGGGTCTGCGCCCTGACACAGTGCTGAGGCCTTGGAGAAGCCCCTGTTGTCTTCTCCAGTCCAGACTGTTTACTCCAAGCATGCCTAGGGCTTAACCTGTATGCTCTTTTCCAAGTGGAAGCTCTGCTGCTTCTGCACTAGGCTTGGGGCAGGGGAATCTTTAGTGAGGAGTGATCCCCAGTGCCTGGGAGCAGGACTGCAAAGATGCACCATACGGCCAACTTCCCCGTCCCTGGGAGGCCTCCCCACCTGCCTTGGCTGCTGCAAGGAAGCAGGGCTCTTTCAGACCCACAGGCCACTGTGCCTTCCTCAGTTTGGGAGAACCTTCCCCCTTTGCCTGTCAAAGGCATTCCCCTCTCTCTCTCTGGCACAATGTCTGGGACACCTGGCATAATGTCAAGTGAGCTTCAGATTTTGGGAAATCCAAAGCCAGAAGAGGAAAGGCCTTGGCGGTGACATGTGCTATTGTCTTGTGTGACAAACCTAAATACAAACAAAGGAAAAAGAAAAGCATCATTCTGCCATACATGAATTATTTCATTTCTTCCTTATGACCAATCTGCAAGTTAAGTATAATGATTTCATTTTATAAAGAAGGAAGCTAGGATTCAAATTACCTAACTTGCCCAAGGTCAAACAGCTAGGAGGTGGTTGGAAGGTCTGTGTGATGCTAGAGCCCATGTTCTTTCCACTGCACTGTCCTACTCAGCAGCGAATGGAGACCAGCTTGTGAGACATGAGGCAGGATGAACAGGGTCAGACATCAGCATTACTAGGAAATGTGTAGGAGGAGGTATTCCCAACTTTGGGAACAAACTTCTTCTGAGGCTTCAGCAGCAACAGGCTGCAGGGAATGAGGTGAGCTTGAAGAATGACTGGGGATGGAATTACTGAAGAGATTTTCTTCTCCCTCCTGGATCAGTCGAAGCACTCCCCCAGTTCAGACTTTCTTTCTTGCTTAGTCTAAATTCCCTCCTGGTCAACAAGACTCTATATGATCTGGCGCTGCATGTGTCTTCATCTTTACTTCCCTCTACTCTTCCTTCTTTCATTAAGCAATAGCCACACTATCTTCCCCAGAATTCTCCTTAACATTAATGCCTCCAATTCATCACCCATTCACAACTCGTGTGGCACCAATTCAGAGAAGCTTCATTGACCAACTTTGCTAAATAAACCACCTATCTCCAATCTCTCCCTATCATGTTACCCTATTTATCTCTACACACAGATGCCTTTCAATGAATGATGTCCCACTTCTCAGGCTTTCCTTTCTCTCTGACTTCAGAAAAGCTTCCAGACAAGTGATCGTGCACGCAGAGGAGCGACTTCACTTCCTCTCCTCTCCTCCTTGTGGTTTAGGAGGTTGCTACCTATGACTTGTAATTTGGCTCCATCTTGTGGTTTGCATCCACCCCACCTGGAGCCTCCAAATCTGAGTAAGCCTAAGGTCTCCCAAGGTGGACTCCCCGGCACTTCCGTCCACTGGAAACGTTCTGCTGCCTCCTCCCTAGAGTCCCAACACCGCTCTTGAGACCTGGTCAGGTTCCCAGTTGCCCTTTATTCCTTTCCTCGGGCCTTCAGTATATGGATCTGCTTCAGGTACAAGTTCTTACTGTAATGCCTGAAACATGGTTAATGTTTAAAGCCCCAGCTGACTAAAACAAAATGTAGTCACCCTGCTCTCAAATTCCCTGATGACATGTCCGCATAAAGAAAAATAAATTAAAATTTGTTTTTCTGATATTAACAAGTATTGTTTTGTTAATACTATTATCTTTCATAATAGTATTGACTATTATTATTGAGCACTTCCAATGTGCCAAACACTAGTCTAACCAACTGATATTTGTCAAATCCAGTATCTCCACATTCACTAAGAAGCACACCAGATATTTCCTAAATTGTTGCATGAAACCGAAGTGTTTAGGAGAGTGTTAATAACCTAACCAAAAACAAATCAATAGAAGTAATATTTTTCTGTTAAAACATATTTTAATACATGTAAGGAAATGCCAAACTTAAATATGTATCTTTTTGTTTTTTGTTTTTTTTGAGACAGAGTCTTGCTCTGTTGCCCAGGCTGGAGTGCAGTGGTGCCATCTCAGCTCACTGCAACCTCCGCCTGCTGGGTTCAAGTGATTCTCCTGCCTCAGCCTACCGAGCAGCTGGGACTACAGGCATTCACCACCGCACCCAGCTAATTTTTGTATTTTTAGTAGAGATAGGGTTTCACCATATTGGCCAGGCTGGTCTCGAACTCCTGACCTTGTGATCCGTCCGCCTTGGCCTCCCAAAGTGAAGTATGTATCTTTATTATATAGTAATCTGCCTTTTAAAAATGATATGTCATTATTTGTAACAATTGAAAATTATTGGAAACATGCCTAGTAAGAGTACAATAGTTGAAAAAATTATAGTACATCTGCACAATGGAGTAATGCAAAGCTGTTAAAAAGAATGAGGAGATAGAAAAAATAAGTTCCAATGTTTGATAGCAGACTGGGGTGACTGTAGTCAGCAACTATATATATATATACATATATATATATATATATATATAGTATATTTCAAAGTAGCTAGAAGAGAGGACTTGAGATGTTGCCAACACATAGAAATGATAAATGCTCAAGGTGAAGGATACCCCAAATACCTGACTTGATCATTAGTCTCATTGTATGCATGTAACAGATACTCACATGTACCTCATAAATAAAATATGTAAAATATCATGTATCAATTAAAGGAAAAAGTCTAACGAAAAGGAATGAGAAAGATCTCTTTGAACTAATACGGAGGAATCTCTAGGTTAGAGTGGAAAATTCACAGTGCAATACAATGATTAAACTATGTACTGCCTTTGGGGTAAGAAAGAGGAAAGATACATATTTTTTCAAAAAGGTGGATTGGGTCAGATGTGGTGGCTTGTGCCTATAATCCCCACACTTTGGGAGGATGAAGTGGGAGGATCACTTGAGGTCAGGAATTTAACACCAGCCTGGCCAACATAGCAAGACTTTGTCTCTACATAAAATAAAAAAATTAGCCAGGCATGGTGGTACCCCCTGTAGTCCTAACTACTCAGGACGCTGAAGCAAGAGGATCATTTGAGCCTAGGAGTTCGAGGCTATAGTGAGTTATGATGGTGCCACTGCACTCCAGCTTGGGCAACAGAGTGAGACCATGTCTCCAAAGGGGGAAAAAAGCTGCATTGGAAGGATAAACAAGAAATTAATAAAAATGGCTACTTTTAGGAAGGAAGGGAGAATAGAAGTGAGAAGTGAATATTGACCTTTGAAACGTATAAATAATTTACAATGTTAATAAAAAATTGACAAAAACCTCTAAAATTTAAAACAAATAGAACTGAACCACACAGAAAAAATAAGTATCCCAAGTGATATTAAAAGATACTACTGTATGTTCTTGGTGGAATACATTTACTCTCTCTCTTCTCTCTCTATTTTTTGTTGTTGTTGTTGTTTGTTGTTTGTTGTTTTTTTAGACAGGGTCTTGCTCTGTTGCCAGCCAAGGCTGGAGTGCTGGAGTGCGCTGGTGTGATTATAGCTCAGTGCACCCTCAAATTCCTGGGCTCACGTGATCCTCCCACCTCGGTCTCCCAAGTACAGTAGCTGGGACTTCAGGAACATGCCACCATACCCAGTTAATTAAAATACATGTTTTAAATAGAAATGGGGTCTCATTATGTTGCCCCAGCTGACTTAATAGAATATATTCTAAGGACAAAAAGAACTATCAGAACTTTGAACATCATTCAGTTGTTTTATGGTTAAGTAATATTTGTATCCTTATTTGAAACTATACTATATATAAAATAAAGCAAATCAGTGATTATGTTAATATAATTAAGAACTAAGATTTTTAGGCCGGGGGCAGTGGCTCATCCCTGTAATCCCAACATTTTGGGAGGCCAAGGCGGGCGGATCACAAGGTCAGGCATTCAAGACCAGCCTGGCCAACACAGTGAAACCCCGTCTCTACTGAAAACACACAAAAAATCAGCTGGGTGTGGTGGCGGGCGCCTGTTATCCCAGGTACTCGGGCGGCTGAGGCAGGAGAATTGTTTGAACCTGGGAGGCAGAGGTTGAGGTCAGCGGAGATTGCACCATTGCACTCCAGCCTGGGCAACAGGGAGAGACTCCATCTCAAAGAAAAAAAAAAAAAAAAAAAAGAACTAAGATTTTCATGTATAAAAAGCAAGTAAAAGTAGCTGAATTAAAATAATAATATTAGAAAAAATATTTGAACTAGAACTGTCAATTTTAACTAATGATTCACTAACATATATGTCCCTGCTCCAGCAAATGAAAGAGCCTAATAGTAGCCCTGTAGCAATGAGCATCCTCAATGCACAGATTGTAGTGTGTAAATATCATTTCCCACTCAAAGGAAATAGAGCTTCTTGGAGAAGTGACCAGTTCCAGGCCTGAGTTATGGAAAATACAAAGCAAGTGTGAGTATCTCATTGTTTTCATAAAACAAGGCACTGTTCAAAGACTAATAGAGTCATGTCAAAAAAAACAGGTCAGCCAGTTTGAAGGAGCTTCCATTGGCCAAAACTGGAACAACTCAGACATCAAAAAGATGACTATAATATAATTAAACACATTGAGTATATAAAAATCCATGGGTTCCTATTAATAGTCGAATACAGATTTTAAAAAGTAAGCAACAACAACCCATTGATATTACCACTGGATGTGATCTTCCAATTCATAACACAGGAAATTGGTGCTTAAAGAAAACAAGTATATATCCTGACATTTCACAAGGAAATGTTCCACTGATGAAAAAAGGTCTACCCTTCAGAGTACCAGTGAATAAATGTTGGGAAAAATAACAGAATTAGAAAACCAGCATTTTGTAAGCCTAATGTGATCATTGATTCAGGGAAGGCATCATATATGTTAAAACCATTAGGAGAATAGACAGTGAGGAACAAGAGAGTCACATCATGCCAAAGTATCATGGTCATAGATTATTTGCTATTGTCAAATGGGAGAAATACCTTTACAGAGGTGATGGCTGTCATCACCTCGACTGAGTGATCAAGTTTAGCCTCACCAATAATAGGACAAGACATTAAGCATATGCTTCCTAATAAGATGAAATGCAAAGTACACAGCAATACCTATGAAGAATTATTGTCAAAAATCTTTCATCTAAATCTAGTCAAGCCTTTGTTTCAAAAAGTTCTAGTCTATAAAAAAAATACATTGGATAGAGGAATAAGTCAAATGAAACCACAAAGAACCAATCACACAAATTCAAAATGTGAGAGATTCTACTGGCCTTGTCTCTCTAAAAAGATGCTGTTTAAAAAATGGGTGGAATAGTGGGAATTAAGAGACATTACAATCAAATTTAGTGAATGATTCTTGGCAATATCTTTGAGGAAAAACAGATATAAAAGCACTTTTCAGACAAATGGGGAAATTTGAATATGAACTGGTAATCGATGATATTAGAGAGCTGTTTTCAGTTTTGTTTAGTATGATTACAGTACCACGGTTATGTATCAAGTCATCTTTATGCTAAAGTATTTAGGGATGAAATGCTAGATCTCTAATTTACTTCAGAATGAATTCAGAATACACACACAGTTCAAACAAACACAGCAAAATCTTGACAGTTGTTGAATCTATATGATGGGTATTTGTCTTAGTCCATTTTGTGTTGCCATAACAGAATACCACAGACTAGGTAATTTACCAAAAAAAAAAAAAAAAAAAAAAAAAAGAAAAGAAAGAAATTTGTTTCTCACAGTTCTGGAGGCTGGGAAGCCTAATGTCAGGTGCCAACATCTGGCAAGGGCTTTCTTGCTGTGATGAAGAAAAAAGGCAGAAGAAAAAAGGAGGAGAGAAAGGATGAAGGAGAGGAAAGGAGTCAAACTCATCCTTTCATCAGGAATTCACTCCTGAGATGAGATAACTAATCCACTCTAGAGATGATGGCATTAAGCCCTTTATGAGGGCTCTGCCCATCTCTTTAAGAGATGACCTAATCGTATTTTAAAGGTCCCACTTCTCAACGTTGTTGCATTGGGGATTAAGTTTCCAATGTTTTATATATAACAACTTTTTGTTATGTATAAAATAAAGCAAATCAGTGATTATGTTCATGTAATTCAGAACTGAGATTTTTAATGTATGAAAAGCAAGTAAACGTAGTTGAATTAAAACAATAATATTAAATTTGAACTAGAAAAATATTTTGAACTAGAAATGTCAGTTTTAACTAATGATTTACTAATATATATGTCCTAGCTCTAGCAAAAGGAAGAGCCTAGTAACTTTGGGAGACACATTCAAACCATAGCAGCTTTCAAGTATTATTTTATTTTTTCCAAGTTTTCTGCAGGTTTGGAAATTTTCACAATTAAAGAGGTGTGTGTGTGTGTGTGTGTGTGTGTGTGTGTGTGTAATGCTTTATTATACTTGAAAATAGCAGGAAATTAAAGGAGAGAGCACTAGATTCCTGAACTCACAAGTTGATGTATGTCACCAATTGAATAACTTTTTTTTTTTTTTGAGACAGAGTCTCGCTCTGTTGCCCAGGCTGGAGTGCAATGGTGCAATCTCAGCTCACTGCACCCTCCACCTCCTGGGTTCAGGTGATTCTCCTGCCTCAGTCTCCCGAGTAGCTGGGATTACAGGCGCCCACGACCACGCCCAACTAATTTTTGTATTTTTAGTAGAGGCAGGGTTTCACCAGGTTGGCCAGGCTGGTCTCGATCTCCTGACCTCAGGTGATCCACCCACCTCAGCCTCCTAAAGTGCTGGGATTACAGGCATGAGCCACCGCTCCCAGCCTGTTCTGTAATATTTTATAATTTAAATAAATAATGTAAATGGGTTGTTCTTTTGTTTTAATTAAAATAAAATAAACATGATGTAATGCCTTTAAATTTTTGTTCCACTACATGGCTATTAAATACAGACATAAAATTTGACCATTTCCCCAGCAGATTTCTCATCCATAGGCTCAAAACCAACTCATTTTATTTTGGGAGCCCTACAATTACTTTATCAATATTATATCATTTGAAAAAAATGATCTGTAGTCAAAAGTTACTGTAACATTGTCTATAGACATCCCAGGAACACCAAGAATAAGTTCACCTAGAAAAATGTCATATAATTTTGTTTTTATAAGACATTAAAATGTTATATAAAAAATTATAAAACATTAAAATGTTATATAAAATTATAAAACATAAAAATGTTATGTAAAAAATTATTTTCCCCATATTTGAGATTTTATTGCCAATCCCAATCAGAAAACAGAAAAGAGGAATAAAAAATAGTAAAAATGGGCCGGGCGCAGTGGTTCACGCCTGTAATCCCAGCACTTTGGGAGGCCGAGGCGGGCGGATCACGAGGTCAGGAGATCGAGACCATCCTGGCTAACACGGTGAAACCCCGTCTCTATTAAAAATACAAAAAATTAGCCGGGCGTGGTGGCGGGCGCCTGTAGTCTCAGCTACTCGGGAGGCTGAGGCAGGAGAATGGCGTGAACCCGAGAGGCGGAGCTTGCAGTGAGCTGAGATCCCGCCACTGCACTCCAGCCTGGGCGACAAAGCGAGACTCCATTTCAAAAAAAAAAAAAAAAAAAAAAAACCAAAAAAAAAAAAAGTAAAAATGAAGAAGGTACTAAGTTTCCAAAATCTTAAAAAGTCTTTATAGTTTTTAAATCTCCTTCTTATGTAGTCAACGCAAGCCCAGACGCACGCCTACCCTTACCCCCAGCTTTCCTCTCACCATCCATCTCCTACAATCCAGTTCCCTCAGGCCTCTCTTCCTTCACAAAGGTCCCAGTGTCTAAGCCAAGCCTGAAGGTATGGTTAGGATGAATGGTAGGTATGAATAGTTACCATTTAGAAATTACGCAGTCTAAAGCGAATATTAATAGTTCAACTTAGCCTGGTTTCTCTTCGTGCAGCAAAAGCCATCACTGGAATTTCCTTTACTTATATTTATGGAATGAAGTCGTTCGTTTCTTATTTGTGTCTTCACACTTCTTAATAGTTCTCCAGCTAAGCTAAATTAATTGGGCTTGGTGAAAAAAATAAAATTTTCTACAGTATGCAGGAATCTTGTGTAGAAGCTGCATTTAAGAACATAGAAGAAAATGGAGACATTACAACTGACACTATAGAAATACAAAAGATCATCTAAGAATACTATAAACACCTCTACGCACACAAACTATAAAATCTAGAGGAAATGAATGAATTCCTGGAAGCATTCCTCTAAGCTTGAATCAGGAAGAAATAGAAATCCTGAACAAACCTAGAGGAAATGAATGAACTCCTGGAAGCATACAACCCTCTAAGCTTGAATCAGGAACAAATAGAAATCCTGAACAAACCAGTAACAAGTACTGATATTGAATCAGTAATAAAAAATCTTTTAAAAAAAAAAAAAGGCCCAGGACCAGATTCACAGCTGAATTCTACCAGATGTTCAAAGAAGAACTGGTACCAATCCTATTGAAACTATTCCAAAAGATTAAGAAAGAGAGAATCCTCCCCAACTCATTCTGTGAAGCCAGTGTTACCTGATGCCAAAGCCAGGAAAGAACACAACAAAAAGGAAAACTACAGAACAATATTCCTGATGAACATAGATGCAAAAATCTTCAACAGAATATTAACAAACCAAATCCATCAGCACATCAAAATGATAAATCACCATGATCAAGTGGGTTTCATCATAGGGAGGCAAGGATGGTTCAACATATGCAAGTCAATAAATGTGATTCACCACATAAACAGAATTTAAAACGAAGTCATATGATCATTTCAATCAATGCATAAAAAGCATTTGGTAAAATCCAGTATCCCTTTATAATAAAAAATTTCAACAAACTAGGCATAGAAGGAACAAACCTCAAAATTATAAAAGTCAGATATGATAAACACACAGCCAATATCATACTGAATGGATGAAAGTTGAAAGCCGGCCGGGCACAGTGGCTCACGCCTATAATGCCAGCAGTTTGGGAGGCCAAGGTGGGCAATTCACCTGAGGTCAGGAGTTCGACACCAGTCTGGTCAACAATAGTGAAACCTCATCTCTACTAAAAAAAAAAAAAAAAAAAAAAAATTAGCTAGGCATGGTGGGACTGCATGCCTGTAGTCCCAGCTACTTGGGAGGCTGAGGCAGGAGAATTGCTTGAACCTCGGAGGCAGGGGTTGCAGGGAGCTGAGGTCGCACCACTGCACTCCAGTCTGGGTGACAGAGTGAGACTCCGTCTCACACACACAAAAAAACAAAAACTGTCCAGGGGAACTTGTCCAGTCCCCCTAAGAACTGGACAAGACAAAGATGCCCACCTTCACCACTCCTATTCATCATAGTACTGGAAGTCCTAGCCAGAGAAAACAGACAAGGGAAAGCACACCCAAATTGGAAAAGAGGAAGTCAAATTATCTCTGTTTGCCAATAACATAATCTTATACCTAGAAAACGCTAAAGACTCCTCCAAAAGACTCTTAGATTTGATAAATGAATTCAGTAAAGTCTCAGGTTACAAAATCAACATACACAAATCAATAACACAGCTCTATACCAATAACGACCAACCTGACAATCAAATCAAGAACTCAATCTCACTTGCAATAGCTACAAAAAAAATTGTAAATGTCTAGGAATATACTTAACCAAGGAGGTGAAAGATCTCCCTAATGAGAACTACAAAACACTGATGAAAGAAATCATAGATGACACAAACAAATGGAAAACCATGCCATGCTCATAGATTGGAAGAATCAATATGAAAAATGACCATACTGCCCAAAGCAATCTACAGGTTTAATGCAATTCCTATCAAAATATCAGCATCATTTTTCACAGAATTAGAAAAAGCAATCCTAAAATTCATATGGAACAACAACAAAAAAAGCCTGGATAGCCAAAGCAATCCTAAACAAAAAGAATAAATCTGGAGGCATCACATTACCCAACTTCAAATTACACTACAAGGCTAGAGTAACCAAAACAGCATGGTACCGGTATAAAAGTACACAGTAGATCAATGGAACAGAATAGAGAACCCAGAAATAAAACCAAATACCTACAACCAACTAATCTTCAACGAAGCAGACAAAACAATACACTGAAGAAAGGACACCCTATTCAATAGATAGTGCTGGGAAAATTGGATTGACACAGGTAGAAGAACGAAACTAGGGCCGAGCGTGGTGGCTCACGCCTGTAATCCCAGCATTTTGGGAGGCTGAGGTGGGTGGATCATGAGGTCAGGAGTTTGAGATCAGCCTGGCCAACATAGTGAAACCCTGTCTCTACTAAAAAATACAAGATTTTGCCAGGAGTGGTGGCGTGCACCTGTAGTCCTGGCTACTTGGGAGGCTGAGGCAGGAGAATCACTTGAACCCAGGAGGTGGAGGTTGCAGTGAGCCGAGACCGTACCATTGCACTCTAGCCTGGGTGACAAACAAGACTCCATCTCAAAAAAAAATAAAAATAAAAATAATAAAACGAAACCAGATCCCTGTTTCTCAACATATACGAAAATTAACTCAAGATAGATTAACGACTTAAATCTAAGACCTGTGATCATAAAAATTCTGGAAGAAACCTTGGAAAAACTCTTATGAATATTGGCCTAGGCAAAGAATTTATGAATAGGACCTCAAAAACAAATCCAACAGAAGCAAAAATAAATAAATAGGACCTACCTAATTAAACTAAAAAGCTTCTGCACAGCAGAGGAAATAATCAAGAGTTAAACAGACAACCACAGAATGAGAGAAAATATTTGCAAATATCTGACAAAGGACTAATATCCAGAATCTAGAAGGAGCTCAAACAAATGAGAGAAAAAAAAAACCAAATAAATAATCCCATTAAAAAGTGAGCAAACGACATTGACAGACATTTCTCAAAAGAAGATATACAAATGTCCAGAAACATATGTAAAAATGTTCAACATCACTATCATCAGGGAAATGCAATTTTTTTTTTTTTTTTTTGAGACAGAGTTTCGCTCTTGTTGCCCAGGCTGGAGCGCAGTGGTGCGATCTTGGCTCACTGCAGCCTCCGCCTCCTGGGTTCAAGTGGTTCTCCTGCCTCAGCCTCCCGAGTAGCTGGGATTACAGGCATGCGCCACCATGCCCAGCTAATTTTGTATTTTTAGTAGAGATGGGGTTTCTCCATGTTGGTCAGGCTGGTCTTGAACTCCCACCTCAGCCTCCCAAAGTGCTGGGATTACAGGCGTGAGCCATCGCGCCCAGCCTGGAAATGCAAATTAAAACCACAATGAGATACTACCTTATCCCAGCCAGTATCATTGATATTAAAAAGTCAAAAAGCAATAGATGTTGGCAAGGATGCAGTGAAAAGGGATAGCTTATACATTGCTGGTGGGAATGTAAATTAGTACAACCTCTGTGGAAAACACTATGGAGATTTCTCAAAGAACTAAAAGTAGTTCTACCATTTGATCTAGCAGTCCCACTCCTGGGTATCTACCCAAAAGAAAAGAAGTCATTATATCAAAAAGACATAGAATTCACAATTGCAGAGGTATGGAATCAACCTAAGTGCCCATAAACTGATGAGTGGATAAGAAAATGTGATGTGTATATACCATGAAATCGTACTCATCCATAAAAAAGAATGAAATAATATATTTTCCAGCAACTTGGATGGAACTGGACCATTTTCCTAAGTGAAGTAACTCAGGAACAGAAAACCAAGTACTACGTGTTCTCATTGTTAAAGAAAAAAAACCTTAGACGAATGAAATTCAACAGAGTTTAATTGAGCAAAGAACAATTTGTGAATTGGGGAGCCTTCTGAGCCAGAGTAGGCTGAGAGACTCCAGAACAGCCAAGTGGTGGAATATTTATGAACAGAAAAAGTAAAGTGATGTACAGAAAACAGACATGAGGTACAGAAACAGCAGGATTGGTTGAAGCTTGGCATTTGTCTTATTTGAACACAGTTTGAACAGTTGATCACCTTTGATTGGCCAAAACTCAGTGATTGGCACTAGAGTAGGTTTCAGTCTGATTACACATCAAGTTAGGTTTCAGTTTACTATGTATGGAGAAACCTTTAGGCTGAACTTAAAACATGTAAGGAAGCAGCTTTAGGCTAAACCTAATTTAACACTCACTTGTAAGTAGGAGCTAAGCTATGGGTATGCAAAGCCATACAGAGTAGTATAACGGACATTGGAGACACAGAAGTGGGGAGTGGGGTGAAGGATGAAAAATTATTTACTGAGTACAATATACACTATTGGGTAATGGGTACACTAAAAGCCCAGACTTCACCACTATACAATTCATCCATGTAAATAAAAGCCACCTGTACTCCTAAAGCTATCGAAATAAAAATAATAAAAATAAAATTCTAGGCTCGGCCTGGTGGGTCATGCCTGTAATCCCAGCACTTTGGGAGGCCGAGATGGGCGGATCGCTTGAGGCCAGGAGTTTGAGACCAGCCTGGCCAACATGGCGAAAACCCGTCTCTACTAAAAATACAAAAATTAGTCCAGCATGGTGGCAGGTGCCTGTAATCCCAGCTACTTGGGAGGCTGAAGCAGGAGAATTGCTTGAACCCAGGAGGTGGAGGTTGCAGTGAGCCGAGATCGTGCCACTGCACTCCAGCCTAGGCGACAGAGCAAGACTGTGTCTCAAAATAAATAAATAAATAAATAAATAAAGTTCTAAAAAGATTGAGGTGTGTGTGTGACTGTGTGTATGTGTGTGCATGCATGTGTGTGTGTGTTCATCTCTAGCCTCATTCTTTAGCTCAGGTTGGTGGAGTTAACAATATCTGGAAGTTTTTGCTAAGTTTTACTTCTGAATTCCTTGTTTGCTTATATCTAGAATATAACTAGAAATGTTTGGTATGTAAAGATATAAACTTTGAAATTAGCCTTATCTTGTCTCACTAGCTCTGTGATCTTATGCACATTAACTTAGAGTTTCCTCCTCTCTAAAATAAAAATAATAACATATGTGTGGTAGGAACGTCATGTGGACCAAAAAAGATGACTATGAAAAGTGCCCATCAATATACACCTGGCAGATAGCAACGGCTCAGTGAGTGTCAGTTCCCTTTCCTTGGCTTTCTCCTTCTCTCTCAGTTTCCCCAGACTCAGAGGAAAAGAAGATTCTTTCTGTTTTGTTTTCTACCTGACTCTGAAGTTCAGGACAGATGCTTTTGATACCCCCTGCAGTAACATCAGCCACCTTCCTCCCAATCACAGAACTGCTTTCTGAGGTAGCTTTTCAACCCCAAGCTGCTCCCTCAGTTGCTCATCATTCTCTCCTTCCCTCAATTTTTGTCTCTTGCCTTACTCCCTGGCCAAATGATTGGTTAAATAGTTGTGGGGCTCTGTAGGGTCTATTTGCAAGACCAAAGGCAGTGATAGAAGGACATGAGATCACTGGGAATCAGCCTGAATAGCAGAGATGGATTTAAGAACAGTAAATCAGTGGGTTGTGTTATTGTGGTTGGAAACAGGTCCAGAACAGAATGCAGAATTTTAAGAGGAAGTCTAAGCACAGTGTCATAGCCAGTTTCAACACCAGGTCACAGACCAGACATCAGGGAATTGGGGGCCAAGTAAGGAAAGTTCCTTACAGAAGGCAGGGTGTGCAACCTGAAGCTTGACATAGCAATCAAAGGGCACAGAGATTGGGCAGTGCCAGTGCTTTCTTAAATCAAGAATACAGAATAATATGTCATGGTAACCATGGATCTGGAAGAACAAGCATCATTTTATTTTGCATCAGAGAGAATGAAGTTTCACTCTGACAGGGATGCAGGACTGCTTGGCCCTTGTAACTATCATTTTGTAACTTTTCAGCTTCCACTTACCTGGGGTTACTTAAGAGTTAAAAGAGTATAAGTAAACTTAGAAAACCTTGAGAACTGCTTTAAAACAATTATTTTTGGGTGGGGCATGGTGGCTCATGCCTGTAATCCCAGCATTTGGGGAGGCAGTTGCGGGTGGATCGGATCACTTGAGATCAGAAGTTCGAGACCAGACTGGCCAACATGGGGAAACCCCATCTCTACTAAACATACAAAAATTATCTGGGTGCGGTGGTGCACACCTGTAGTCTCCAGCTACTTGGGAGGCTGAGGCACGAGAACTGCTTGAACCTGGGAGGCAGAGGTTGCAATGAGCCAAGATTGTGCCACTGTACTCAAGCCTGGGCTACAGAGCAAGACTCTGTCTTTAAAAACATTATTTTTGAGAGAGAGGAGAAAATCGGTAGATGAAACTGCAAAATGTCTCTTTTTTTTTTTTTTTTTTGCAGGAACTCTGGGTGAGAAACAAAACCATGCAGGAAGACAAGGTAATAACTGTCTTTCTTGGAAGAACTGTCATTGTCTCTACAACCTGCCTTCATAGAGAAGCCAGTTCCAACACATCTTCTGCAGGGGCAGAAGAGGGGAAAGTATTCATCAATTAACCAGTGTTACCTTCTCATAGTCTCAGCAATTAGAATAGCAACTGACTCCATGAGGTCTGACAGTGGCAGCTAATAGAAGAACTGCTCTTTTTTTGTTTGTCAAACACCAGCAAAAATGCTTATCGCTGGAGAATAAATCCCTTTTCTCCTTCAATCTCAAATCAAACATTAGCTTGTCTGACAAAATGAGCAAGGTCCTCATTTGGCAAAGAGATGAAAGAAATATTTTATTATGTAGAAATATTCACTTACTGTACAAGGACACAAAAATACTTGAAGTTTGGGGTTGGTTGGAAAGCTTGGCAAGGATGATGAGTTCCTCTTACTCACATGAGAGGTTATTCTTATTTTGACCTCCTTAGTTGAGGTGAGGCCTCACTGCAAGTGACAGGTCTGATGATAACCCAGGAAGGGAGGTCTTCACTGGTGTGGTGGGGATAGGGCAGGGCATGAAGGGAGAGGTGAGTGATGGGCCCTGAAACAACACAGTATAGCTGAAAGACATGGACTAGTGACAGAGTCGTGTGAGAGTCCAGGCTGATGAGGGGCACTGAGAGAAGGGACAGAGGAAGGCTCAACAGACCTCAATGGCTGAACAGGGAGTTGGGGGAGAATAAGGGGAAGAAACTAGGCAGCTATAGAACTGTTACTAAATGTCTGTTTCCTCATGTATAAAATGGTGATGAGTACCTACCTCTTAGGATTATTATGAAGACTAAATTGCAAAAGTGCTCATAAGTGTCTGGTACATAGTAAACTCTATATAAGTGCTTGTTCCTTATAGCAGGGGTCCCCCAACCTCTGGGCCACTGAACACTACCAGTCCGTGGCCTGGTAGGAACTGGGGTGCACAGCAGGAGGTGAGCAGCGAGCAAGCTCTGCCTCTTGTCAGATCAGCAGTGGCATTAGATTCTCACAGGACTGCAAACCCTATTGTGAACTGAGCATGCGAGGGAAGGTTGCAAACTCCTTTTGAGAATCTAATGCCTGGTGATCTGAAGTAGAACAGTTTGATCTGGAAACCATTCTCCCCGCCTCCATCCATAGAAAAGTTGTCTTCCACAAAACCAGTCCTTGGTGCCAAAAAAGCTGGGGACTGCTGACTTAGAGAACTCACTGCGAGGGACATGTTTGGGGAAAAAGGTAGAATCTTTTCTAAAAATGTGTGCACGAGCTTATGGGACCTTGCCATTAGGCATTGCATTAGGCACTTGGAACTTTGACTCAAGGTTTGATATGGGGGCAGTTTCCCCCATGCTGTTCTCGTGATAGTGAGTTCTCACGAGATCTTATGGTTTTATAAGGGGCTTCCCCACTTCACTTTGGCACTCATTCTCCTGCCACCCTGTGAAGAGGTGTCTTCCGCCATGATTGTAAGTTTCCTGAGGCCTCCCCAGCCATGCAGAACTGTGAGTCAATTAAACCTCTTTCCTTTATAAATCACCTAGTCTCAGGTATTTCCTCATAGCCATGTGAGAATGGACTAATACAAGGTCTAAACAGAGACACAGATTTTATGGGTGGGAGGTGCCTCCAGAGGAATGGGTAAACTTGCTTAAAAATACTGTGCAAATAAAAAGAGGACAAAGAAAGGTGTCATAAGGGACAATATATTATGGGAGGCAGAGGCAGAGACTTTAAAGAAGCAGACTAAGAAATGGCTGTCTGAAAAGTATGAGAGCTAGGAACAAGTGGTGTCAAGTCAAAGAAGTCAGGAGATGCAGGGTGCGGTGGCTCATGCCTGTAATCCCAGCTACTCAGGAGGCTGAGGCAAGAGCATTACTTGAGCCCAGAAGGTCGAAGCTACAGTGAGCTATGATCACACCACTGCACTCCAGCCTGGGTGACAGAAATCCTCTTTCTTAAAAATAAATAAATAAATCAATATAAAATAAAATGCTAGGGAAGCCCCATGGGATGCTTCAGAGGTAAAGGGAGATAAGGACTAAAAAGGCCTAATCTCCTTCTTTTGTGACCCTCTGGGTCATAAAAATGAAGGCTCACATTTTAAGAGTTGAAGTTTAGGAAAGTAAGAAGGGAAGAACCACCTAACCTCGGGGGCAGGACACAAAAATGACAATAGATTCAGGAGGCAATCGTGGGTAACACGCCCAACAGGTGGCGCCAAATACCTTCAGTGGCAGTCTACAAGAGCCTCAGAACCCCTGCCCCTTCGGCAAGCCATGCTGGAGGGAGCTCCATTCAAATCTGCCAGTCAGCCAGGTGGCACTCCTTTAGTCAACAAAATATCAAGCTTCCACTATTGGAAAGCTCTGTGCTAGGGACTCTGAGAGCTGTATGTCTGCAAGTGCACGTGTGCTCTGCTGTTCCTTTAACGTGTGGAGACAAGAACCTTTTGAGAATAAGTCCCATCTATTTTAACTCCTACATAGCTCTCAAATCTATCTACATTTCTTCATCTACATTGCTGCCTTTCTCTTCTACACCACTATTCTCACTGGCTGGGATTAACTGCTGCAATTGCTTTCTAAACTATCCACTCTCAACACCCCACCAACCCTAACATGATTGTCCCTAGTGCAATTTCCTTAAAGCATGTCTATCTCCTAGCTCCCTACTGGCCCACAGCACTGGAAGTCTAGTGCAGTAGTTATAAATGTGGACCCTGAAGCCAGATCGCCTGGTTTCAAAACCCACCTCCAGTGCTCACTGACAATGTGGTGATGTTGGGCAAATTGACTAATCTCTCTGTGCCTCATTTCTTTATCTGTTAAATGCAGACAAGATGTACCTCACAGGATTATAGTGAGGACCAAATGAGTTTACAGGGTAAGTTTTTATTTAGCACAGTGCATGGGACACAGTAAGTGCTCAATAAATGTTAGCTATTAGTCTTTGAGATGTAAATTCAAAGCATCTCAAAGCACTCACCTTCATCCTTGCTGCTTCAGCATCACCTAGTTACCTTCTCAGTTGCTGTTTCTTCTGCTGGCAATGTTCACTACTCCCTGCTCCCACCCATCCACCCCTTACAAACAGGAAGGAACTCATCGTTCTGAGATATCTGAATAGCTCTCAGCTTAGACCAGAGAACCCTCTTTTCTAAATTCTTGCTAGACCTCTGCACATTGTCCTGTTAGAATTACTTATTTTTGTTAAAAATCGTGTGACTAGTTGTCTAATGCTGCCCCTTTCCCCGATCCTAGAATATAAATTGAGAGCAAGAAGCTGTCGTCTCATTCAGTGCTGGAGACCAGCTGGTGGGATTTTGTGAGTATCTTTAGGGTGATGACCCAGGAAAAAATGAAATCATGGTGACAACACATTAGTTCCATGCTACCATTCCCACATCTCCTTCCCAGCTCTCCATTACAGCCACTCTCTAATTGCTCAGGAAAATCTTCCTCCAGTCTTGCACTAAGCCCCAGAGTAACACCAGTCACCTCTGGTCCTTGTCCTGGGAGTCCTTCATGCTGGTCACTCATGGAAGCAGGGCCTTCCAATCAAGGTAGTCCCGAGTGAACCTAAGAGCAGGACTTTGGGGAAGGTTACAGGCAGGCTGGAACTGGGGTCCACATATGGGTGCACAATAAGGATGGTCTGTGAAGACCAAGTCATGCCTATATCTTGGATTCAATCAGTATAATTACCACACCATGATGGTTAATAATTGCACCCTATTCGTGCTAAGCAAACTCCATGATAAGACCTTGTCTTATCTTCACCTTATACCCTCTGGCTTGGCAACGTCCAGGTCTACAGGCCTAACAGTTTGCTGAAAAGGCAATCAAGGGAACTCAATAAATGTGTGACTGAGTAAATAAGACCGACTCTCACCTTCCCCCACAACCCAACAAAAGGCTTCCTATGGACGCAATAAAAGGCAGTAAATGGCAGCATGAGGGGAGAGGGAAAAAGCAGCAGCAATAGAACCCATGATTCCAAGAGCTGAGAGGAGCATAGGGGGAAATAATGCCCACAGGACTCCACTAGTCCTTTGAGTTGTGCTGGAGACTGCTATTTTGGAATAAAGTCCTTTGGCAACCAAGATGGAACTCAACCAAACTCCTGAAACAATTACAATCCCTAAGTGAGACAGGCTTGAAATAAGTTCAAACTAAAGTCAATTAAGAGACTAGTCCAATTGGTTTAAGGCAGGTCTGAAGCCCCTGTGTCAGCCAGCCCTTCTCTCTCTTAAAGCATTTAGGGCGGTCTGGGTTCCATTTACAGGGAATTAAGTACTCAGGGGCCTCCAATGTCAGGTTGAAACTTTTATTTTTCCGAACTACAGAAAACAAACCTTAAAAGTACATGAGCAGAAGGGGCTGCAGTCAGACAAAATATTCTATATTTTGTCCCAAAACTAATCCAACTAAATCCTTCAATTCCCTCTGAAATGAGATGTAATCCTTGACATAGACATGCACTTAGCTTAAATCTATTTACTCCGATTTTCAGAACTTTAATTTGTATCTCATCACCTATTGCCCAACGCGTCTCTATTAAGTACTTACGAATCCTCAACATCTGTTATTCTCAAAAGGGAACCAGAGCTCAAAGGGAGCTCAAGAGCTTTCACTGGTGCACACAAGTTAGCAAGAAAGCCCAAACAAGGGTTTGTTTCCCTCTAAGTGCTTGGCAAACAGTAGCAGGTGGTTCACAAACCTAATTTTTTATTACCATCTCCCGAGCTTTTGAAAATTGTTGCTCAAGCCCCAGTTTAGCCGGAATTCCTAAAGAGGGCTGAGCATCACTAGTAAAATTTATTGCTTCCTACATTTAGTTTGTGGTGTTGCCCTACACTTAGTTTGTGGTGTCATTTACAGCAAAATAAACCATTTGCTTTACTACATTCCTGATTCTAATTTCCACGTCTCTATCCAGGTTTCCTACTATGGTACACTATACTAAGCAAATGTCTCACTTTTCCAGTATTAAAGCCCCAAATTCCAGAATGCACACATCCCAACCCCCTAAACTTTTTATACAACCCTTCTCTCCCCTTAGCAAGACAAGGGGGTATGCAGAAAGCAGTTTTGTGATTTAATCGTTGGAATACTCTTTAGTATTCTACTAATAAACTATCTGTAAATTTGTGTGTGACCATGGCAGCAAAATTTAACAATGTTTAACAATGTAGTAGGCCCAATTACTTTTTTTTTTGAGACGGAGTGTCTACCACCCAGGCTGGAGTGCAGTGGCGCGATCTCGGCTCACTGAACCCCGCCTCCCGAGTTCACGCCATTCTGCTGCCTCAGCCTCCCGAGTAGCTGGGACTACAGGTACCCGCCACCTCGCCCAGCTAATTTTTTTTTAGTAGACAGGGTTTCACCATGGTCTCGATCTCCTGACCTCGTGATCTGCCCGCCTCGGCCTCCCAAAGTGCTGGGATTACAGGCCAATTTCCTTTTAAAAGGCAATAAACTCAATGCATAAAGTACTTATGTTCGGCTACCTCCCACCCTTTTCTCATATTTTAAGTCTGCTCAGGAGAAAATTCACACATCCAGTGCCACAGGGAAAAACCTAAAGCCTACCTCAAAATTTTGAGTTCTTGGTTAAAGCATGAATGAGCCACAGTACTATTTTTCATTTAAACAAGAGCAAATTGTAGACCTAAAGATTACTTCTAAGGACTCAATTTACAAAAGTCATATTTACTTTATTAAAAACACAGCAAAAGCCTACTGGTTTAAAAATTAAGACAATCCAATTATAGGTTAGCTATTGCCTTTTCTCACTGCAGTAATATTTCCCTCAAAATTATCAAGACAATTCTTATGATGTTCCTTTTGAAACACTACAAAAGCAAATATTAAGGTAACTCAAAACTTGAATAATATTTTCTTTATTTACAAGTTAGAATCAACAAAGACAGTCCAGGGGACCAAATGGGGAGATGACTGAAACCCCCAGGGCCCCAAATGGAGCGGAAGGAAAAAGGGAAAACAGAGTAGAAAAAAAAAAATCAACGTAAAAAAAGAGCTCCCCCTTCTTCCCTCCCCATGGAGGCTGAGGGGACCACGGCCCCACCCTCCCCCCAGCCTTACCTAGCTTAAAATAAATTAGAACAAACAATCTCAAAACAGGGCCCTTAGAAGTGAATAGGGCAGCTATGGCCTCAGGTAACTCCAGATCAGGGCTTTGCACACTCCCACCCTTGCCCTGCCCCATTTTGAATGGGGGCTCTGTGTCCAAGAGATCACTCCCCAATGGGGCTGGGAATTCAATGTTGTTTTGTCCATGTCCCTCCTTCAGTAAATGTCCCTGCATCCCTCCCCCACTGCAGAGCCAGCTCTCCTAGAGGGGGGCAGGGGGGGGTGAGATGAAGAAGTGTCACAGCAAAGGGGGAAGGGGCAGGTGGGGCAGGGTGGTCTAGGGGTCCGGTCCTGCGGAGCCTTCCTGCCCCATCTGGCCTGACCCCTTAGCCTGAGTCTGAATCACTGGTGTCTGAAGACGACGACGAGGAAGAGGAGGAGCTGGAATCTGAGCTAGAGCTGGAAGCGCTAAGGCGTGACACTGCTACTTGCTGTGCAGAGGATGACTCTGTTTTCTCATTCGCTGCAGAACAAATTCGAAAGTTAAAGACGTTCAAGTCTGAATCTTCATTTGTCAATAAAAGACAGTCAAGAAGGCAGGATGGAGTCAATCTGTAGTGGCATGAAAGTATATACTCACCTTTCTTGGGGGGCTTTTTAGTAGAATTGAGCTGTCCGCTGACATCTTGTAACCGCTTTTCTAATTCCCGCTTTTTCTCCAAAGCCAGTTCCTCCTTTGTCTTTCCCACAGGCTTCTTAATGGCTAATGAAAGAAATTTATCAGGATACATTAAGATTGCCCCAAGCATCTTATTATGGGCCCCTAAGGTTCCCAAGTTCCCTTCTTGAACGTCAGCTGCCAACCAACACATCCCATTATCCTGGGAGCTGACAATCCTGAATGCAAACAGACCCCACCATCTTTCCTCAACTGTCCTCAGAACCATGAGATGAACCTCATTTCATACGTACTGTAGGGCTTCCGGGGTTTCTTACGTAGGCAGGAAAGGACATAGCGCTCAAGCTCTCTAAGTGTGGATGGCTTGAGTGTTTCAAAATCAATCTCAATCTCTTCTGGGTTTGAATCACGTAAAGAGGGCTCCCTGGCTTGGATTATATGCACAACTCGGCCCAGCTTCTCCCCAGGTAATTTGTTGATGTCCAGGCTCAGCTGCCGCTTCTCATCGTAACTCATGGGCCTGCTCTCTTCCTCCTCCTCTGAATCATAACCTGTAGGCAGGGCAGGTGGGGCTGTCTTTGTGGCCTTTTTGGGGAGCCTAAGGGCAAAAAGAGTTGTCAGCAAAAGAAGCTTCATTAACCTCTTCCAGTATGTTCCCACTGTTATAATTCAGTGATCCTATTTCCTGCCCAGAGTGGAGCTTCTGTTTTTCCATTCAATGGCCAAGTAAGAGGTGGGCTACTGGGACACTGTATAGTGAAACAGAGCATTTTGCTCTTGACTGTAAGTAGGCAATAACATGTCTTTAAAAAGACAATGTACGTACATACCTTAATGAAAAAATATTACTAAAAATGTGACACACAAACATGTTGGAAAAACTGTTGAAAGACTTGCTCCACACAGGGTTGTCACAAATCTTCAACTAAAAAAAAAAGTAGTATCTAAAAAAAACTCCGTAAAGTGAAGCACAATAAAACAAGGTATACCTGTTTAGGTATACTGACATGGGTCTTTCTGCTCCCTTAAACACTACCAAACTACACCATGGGCCAGCTGCAGTGGCTCAGATTTGTAATCCCAGCACTTTGGGAGGCCAAGGCGGGCAGATCACTTGAGGTCAGGAGTTCAAGACCAGCCTGCCCAACATGGCGAAACCCCGTCTCCACTAAAACTACATAAACTAGCTGCGCACTAAAAATACAAAAATTAGCTGGGCGTGGTGGCGCATGCCTGTAATCCTGGCTACTTGGGAGGCTGAGGCAGGAGAATCGCTTGAACCCGAGAAGTGGAGGTTGCAGTAAGCCGAGATCACGCCACTGCACTCCAGCCTGGAGTCTTTAAAAAAAACAAAACAAAAAACAAACTAACAAAAAAAAAAACAAAACACAAAACCACACCAAAAAACCAAAAACTACTACGCCATGAAAAACAAGTCTAGACTCATTGATTTAGAGCAACAGGCAAACTATATGGCCCAGAGAACAAATCTGATCGCCACGTGTCTTTGCAAATAAAGTCTTTTTGGAACACAGCCATCTTCATGTTTCTAGTTTATGGCTACTTTGAGTTCACTGTCAGAGTAGCTGTGAAACACCCTGACTCCCAAAGCCAGGGGTCCCAACCCCCAGACCAGTACCAGTCCGTGGCCTGTTACTGGGCTACGCAGGAGGTGAACAGCCGGCATGTGGGCATCACTGCCTGTCACATCAGCAGAAGCATTAGATTCTCATAGAAGCATGAACCCTACTGTGAAGTGCGCATGGTACATATCCAGGCTGCATGCTCCTTATGGGAATCCAATGGCCCAATGATCTGAGGTGGAACAGTTTCATCCCAAAAACCATCCCCTCAAACCCTGTCTGTGGTAAAATCTGTCTTCCACGAAACTGGTCCCTGGTGCCAAAAAGGTTGGGGACCACTGCTCAAAGCCTATTGTATCTGTTAACTGGCCATTTAGAATTATCTTTGCAAAGAGAGATGGCATCCCCCAGAGAGACAGAAATAGCCAAACTAGTCTCTGCTTCCTACTCTAACTCACTTGGTGCCACTTCCTCCAGAAGGTCCAAAGCCAGAAGGGCCTAAAGCAGCACTGCCACCCCCACTGCCACTTGCTTTCTTGGACTTCTTAGGTTGAGGTGGGCGGGGTGCCCTAGGCCCCTTGTCATCTTCATCGGCCCCAGCTCGGCCTCGATGCTTCTCTGCCTTCCGTTTCTTCTTTTTCTCTTTTTTCTCTCTTTTCCTCTTGGGCTTGGATATTGGACCCTGGGACAGAGCAGCCAGTTGTTCATGTACTGCCCGAAGCTAAAGGAAAAAAAACATGAAGTGGAAAAAGTAAATAAAGATAAAATAACAAGAAGAAAAAATGAGGACAAAGGGCATGAACCTCTTACCCAATAAAAACTTTCAAGAGTGACAAAATACCTGTTCCTGTAGTTCTGCTAAGCGATGAGCCCTTTCTTCCTCTGAGTCTGAGCTTTCACTCTCTTCTTCCTCCTCGTCCTCCTCATCTTCCTCCTCCTCTTCCTCAGAGGAGCTCTCACTGCTACTTTCCTCACTGGAGGACTCTGAAGACGATTTGGCCAAGCCAGGGGGCATGGCAGTAGAGACTGGTAAAGGCCCTGGTTCTAGTGGTTCATCTGGCATCTTGGCATAACGGAACTCAAATACATCCTAGAAAGAGGCACAAACTCAAAACTATGCTGATAAACAGTGCCCTACATACCCAGCCACCAAGTGATATAGCTCCAATTTACAACTGTACAGAACAGTGAGACCCTCACGTTGAGGCTATGCAGCACACATGACAAAATAACTCCCCATACCATTTATTTTTCAAACTCCAACCTTTCCACTCACCTGTAGCTTTCGTGCCATTGCCACAACATCGTGATCTGGGGGATTGTACTTATAGCAGTTGGAGAACATAAGCCGTACATCAGCAGCAAACTCCTGTGCATCCCGGTAATCACGGTTCTCCATCTTCCGCTGCAGAAGGAGGCAGCATCAGAAGCTGCACAGGCAGGAAGACTCACCTTTCCCTGCCAACCCCAGACACCACAAGAAGAGCCCTCTCTTGAGAGCACAGTGGGGATGACCTTAAGGATCTGTGCCCTGGGGTTCAAGTTTGAAGTCAAAGGAATTTGGGTGGGTTGAAGAAATATTTATGTCTAGAAAAAGAAATCATTTCTAAGTGACAGAGAGGTGGCCTATGCCTGTCTTTCCACCCTATAACTTCCTTAACCCAACACTGCCACATTAGTACTTAATTATAGACAGTATTTTTCTCAAGACAAAGAAACCCCACCCTACTGTTTCAAACTCCAAGAAATACAAATTCTCAAAACACCAGACCTTCTGTTCCACTATTATTTTATAAAAGTAAAATGCCAAGAACCAAAGACTGCTGTGTGCCCACATAAGGAGACTTATTGTTTTGCACCTAGGCTCCCATCACTGCCTGAGCATCCCATCTGCCCCATGCAGTGGGTACCTTGACAGTGCTGAGGTCCATGGGGTGCTTAATGATGTCATGGTAGTCATGCAGGCCAAGTGCAGAAGCATCCACTGGTTTATAGAAAGGCCAAGCATAGGCAGCATGCTTCTTAGAGAGTAACTCCTTCAAAATGCCATTGCAATGTTTTAACTGTTCTGAAAGCTTTCCTTTCTTAGAGCTCTGGTGTTGTTGCTGAGAGTCAGGCAAGTCTTTGCGTGGGGGCTTGATGGGGCGACCACTCTCTCTACGCATAGGGGGAAGCCGTGCTGCCTTAGGCTCAAGACTCCCAGGAGGGCTAGCTGGAGAACCAGGAGCCAAGATGGCTGTAGGTGTAGGGGTGGTAGTATCTGCTTTCCGCTTTACGCCTTTTTTCTGCAGAAAGAAACAAGATAGGGAACCTGTCACTCCAAGCCCACTTTACTTAAGACCCTTGCCTCCCTGCTGCCCAGAGGAAATCCACAGATCATACCTTGGCAAGGGGCTGGGCTGGAGGAGCTGCAGTAACAGCAAGGAGCGGGGGTCCAGCAGAGTGCAAGGACTTGAGAAGTGGAGAGGAAATGACTGATGGGTGGGGAATGTTGAGGACAGTGGTAGGTATCTCAGGTGGAGGAGTATAGAGGGCTGTGTGTGACACAGAAGAGACGGCAGGCACCTGATGGGCACTGGTAACACTGCCCTGGAGCGCTAGAAAAAAGGAAAAAAGTGTAGTTTGATTCTCTTCCCCATCTTTAGTTGTCCATTTGCAAAACTCCCACTCTTCCTACCTGCCAACTTGGCCCCCTTCTTGTGGCTGTTCTTAGGGATGGTCACTACCAGCTCTTGTTCTTCTTGTGGCATTGATGCAACCTTCTGTAGGAATATCTTTTCCAGCGTTTGTGCCATTAGGACAATATCATCAGTGGGCTATGAGAACACAGACAGCAATAAAGAAAGTTAAAAAATGCCAACAGAAGATAGATACACACCATCTTTCTCAGAGGCATTCAGGCCCTAGGCCATTACCATACCCCCACCAGTCATCTTGTCATCAAATCTTAAAGAAAATTTCCTACTCCAGGCCACTACTAATTTCCACTTTCTCCTAACTGTCTCCCAAAATTCGAAAGAAGAAAAAACTTGAGAGCTGACAAGAAAACAGATCCCTGGTCTACTCAGGTCTCTGGTGATTTCTAAGAAACAGGACCACCACCCCCAAGTATGAAGTGTTCTAAATAACCTTCAACTAGAGCTCTGAAGTCACATCACTGTGTTCAATAGTACCATCTAGAGTCAGGTTTTTAAGACTCCGACTACCCTACCTGGATAACACCTTCAGTAGCAAAGGATTTAAACTTTATGTAGACAACATATCCAGCAATAATAGAAGTTACTGTTTCTCCCCACCTACTAAATGAACACACAGAAAAACTCACCTTGTTGTAAATGTAACAGTTGGTGAACATGGTATTAAAATCTTGCATACACTCTGAAGCAGCCCAATAATAATTGTTTTCAAGTCTCCTCTTAATAGTACCCATGTCCATAGGCTGTTTTATAATTTTGTGATAATCCTAAATAAAAAAATGTTAGGTCAGAACCACAGAAAAATAAATGCTTATAGGGAGACTACCGATCCCCGACTCTCACACACACACACACACACACACACACACCCCCTATGCATCAAAGGAACAGTTACTTAAACTGCGGCCCCAATTAAACTGTGGGACAAAATAAATAAATAAATAAAAAAGATTCTTGACATCCACAGGGAGGCCCCTGCTGCCTTTCTCTAACCACCCACCTCCCACCCACTCTGGAAACTTCCCATCCTGTGACATTACCTCTGGGGCTGGCTATCCATGGGCTGCATGAGGGAAAGGAAGAAGCTAAGAATTTTGGCCACCGTGGTCCTCTCCCAACCCGAGGTGGGAATCTGTAAAATGGAGCCAGGGCACAAAAGTTAAGGAAGGACACATGGAGGGCACAAGGAAAGATGCCAAGATAGTTACAGCAAGCGGTCGGATCAATCACAAAGGACCAAGATACCCAGAAATCTGGTAGCTAACTGCCCTACAGGGGAGAAATGGGAACTCCCTAGGGGCCGCAGCATCTACACTAGGCAGACCACCCCCATTCACACGCATTCTTGCTCATCCCACACCTCCCCGGCTCCAATGTCTCTACTCACCGGTAGACCCAGTTTGACAGCATCCACAGGCTGCCGGAATGGCCATGCGAACTGATGTTTCCACAGAGCCTTCATCACTACCTTGTGTAGGTATTGCAGCTGGTTGGTAACTCGTCCTGGCTTTTTGGGATTGGACACCTCCGGGGGTGGTGGGTTGGCAGGGGTAAGTTGCAAAGCAGGCACCGAAGCCATTGTGGGGCTCTCAAAGCCCTCATACAAGAGAGAGGGTTTTCGAATCCTCTTCCCTGGTGCTGCTGCTTCTGGGCCCAGCCCCAGCAACCCTGCATTCCCTTCCCCAGGGAGCCTGTAAAGATGGGAACAAAATTAGGGCAATATCGTCCAAATGAGGAAAAAGTGCATCTGCACAATAGTCTGATGAATCCAGGTGCTGGCCCTAGTGAGGTGGTTAAGCTTATGCCAAGTGCTTCTTAAGCAGAAACAATATCCAAACAATCTGTGGAGCTTTTATTGCTGGCCCCGCCTTCCTTTTATTAATATTTTTAGTATACTATCTAGATCCCACCTTCTTAAGTCTGATAGGCTCTATCTGTTCTTTTTCATATTTTAAAAAACTCCCAAATTGTTTCTGACAAGGCACGACATCTCAGAACTACAGCCCTATGGGGATGGGGCTTAAGCAAAATGGGTGGAGTTAAGAAACTCAAACCCCAAGCTTCCTCCTCACTAGGGGTTTGGTGGTTGCCATGGTGGTTGAGCGCCGGTAAGGAGGAAAAGAACAAATTATGGCTATAAAAAATTCCATAAAATGCTGATAAGACACAGAATAATCCACCTAGATAGAAGAGAGAGCACCATCTTCCACAAGGTCTGGGTAGTTCACGCCACAACAGAACATAGACTAGAAACCCAGAGGAAGAACCATATCAACTTAAAAACAAATTCAGACAAGGAAGAATTTGTCAGACTTCACAGCCCGTAACTTCCAGGCCCTCAAAATTATTCGCACCAAATCAGAGTCTCCTCACTCCAAGGAAGTCAAAAAGCCGTACAAAACAGTCAAGGTCACCAAGTGATAGCCCCCTTCCACCCACCCACTACACAACACGATTCCACTACCAGTTCCCCCTGTAGCACCAACTCCGGACACCAAACGCTAACAGTGGTTCATTTACAGTCCCTCTGGTGCTCCTCCGATCAGTCTTTCCTACCACCTAAGAATTAAAACATCATATGGGAATCTCATTGTTTACATCGCAGAGCTGAACTAGGAACCTTAGCTCTACCCTCCTGCCCTGAATCAAACTTTTAATGTTAGGAAAAAACAATCCCTGCACCAACAAACACCACACACAACCCACCCACCCAAAGAAAGCAAAAGATTTAATGACATGCCCTGGGCATTAGGAACCTGCACACACGGGAGAGTGATCCCTTTACCCTTCTCTGGGAATCCCCGTTGCCAGTCCCTTAAGCGCTCCGTCACCATGGCAACCCTACAGGGCGCTAGAGGTGTCCGTGAATCCCCCCTAAAAGGCTAACAGACCGCCGCTAGATACCAGACCCACCAAACGCCAAACCTGCTGTTCAACCTCACTCCACTCCACCGTCAAACTAGCTCTGCCTGACTCGGTTAAGACTGGGCCACGGCGGCATTAATAGCGTATAAATTGACAACCTGTATTCCCCTCCACGAGCAGTAGCCGAGCCGCCACCACCGTTCCAAAACCGTCGCTCAATTCCCTCCGCGCGACCGAGTCGACAGCTGCGCCGCAACAGCAGCGCGCCGGGGCCGCTCAGTACTCCCAACACGGCGCCCCACACCCCTGTGCCGCCGCCCTGCAACATCCCCTTCCCACACGCGGCTCGCGGAAACGTACTTATTGTGGGGAGTCACGTTTTGCAGCATCTTGACCGCAAGGAACCGGCGCTGCCCTCAGCCGCGGAAAGTCCGGGTGGCCTCGGTTCCCCTCACCGCCCGGTCCAGCATAACCCGCTAAGTTGGGGGGAGGCCGTTCCTCTTGGGCCTCCAGGCGACAAACCCCCTGCCTGGCCGGCACGAAAGCAGTCTCTTTGGGGCCTCTCGGAGAGCTCCGGGCAGCTTGGCGCGCTCTGCAGACGGCGGACAGCAAGAAAATGGCGGCGGCCTCAGCTGAGGCGGGCAACTAAGGAGGGACTGACTCTTCAAAAGACGGTCCCCGATCTCAGACACCGTCGTCAATATAGCCCGCTGTTGGTCTGCAGGGATTCCCTCTTCTTGTCGGGCCCCTACGGGGCCGACGAGGTCCCGTTTCGATCTCGGATGGAGGCGGATGAACACGAAAAGTGGTTTAGGGAGCCGCCGCCTCCATCTTTGAAATCCTCTTGAGGGCGGAGTAGAGGGGGTGGACAGACTCCGAGGATTGGGCGGGGCCCGAAAAAGGGGAGCTCCAGGGGCTTCTAGGGGGTCTGTACTGCCCGCTGGGACCAGTCATAGGCCGGGACGAAGGCCATTTCCAAGCGGATGGAGGTGGATTGTAATGGCGGCCCCGGACGACTCGAAGGCTCTGTATCGGTAGGCAGAATCCTCCAGCTCGTTCTAGAGGCTGCTCCACTCCAGCACGAAATGGCGCCGCCGAGCCCCGCGCCAGCCCTTTATATATAGGCGGGGAGGAGGAGCTTCGCCGCTCATGCGCGCCACCCTGCTTGAGATTTTCCCCACCCCCTCCGCGCGCGCGCGCTCGCTCACGCGGGTGAAGAAGCTGAGTCGAAGGGGAAGGAACACCTCTCCGCGGGAGCTTTTTCTATTGGCCAGCCGCAACGATGACGTCATAAACTTCATTTCCAAGGTGTCAGTCACCAGGCAGAAGAGTGCCGCAGAGACCCACAGGGAAGTGGCAACCCGCCACATCTCCAAGCCAATTGGCTGAGCTGTGGTCCGCCGACTCCAGGGAAAGAGGGTGGTTGGAAGAGGTGCGGAAGCCATCGCCCCAGAGCCTCCAGCACTCTCTCCCCGCCTCCCCTTCCAACAAAGTCTTCCCAAGCTTCCATGCACAGCCCAACTGGAGACTGCCAAGCTCGAGCAGGTCGTGCCATTCGTAGCTCCTCCATTGGCCAAAGCAGGGAAACGGGAGGGGTCGCGTGGGCGTAGCCTGCCTGAACCCGCCAGGGGTGTGGCCGCAAGACGCCTGGCGGGTGGTGGTTCTCGGCGGTAAGGCAGCAGCAGCGAAGAATCTGAAACGAGGAAAAAGACGCCATCTTAGAAGCCGCGGCCTGCTCCTCTATGGCGAACAGCTACGGGCTTCAGAACGGCGATGAGGGGATCTAACGTTCCCATGCCCCACAGTCTAAAACAGTGTTGCCAGAGTCTTATAATACTCCACTCCCTCCCTCAAGCCAAACGATGGAAAGACGAGCAAAACATTATTTACTACTGTTTAGTCCCAAAGACCACAAAAGCTAAAATACGTCTCCCAAATTTGCACGTCCAAGCACCTTTCTAATCCCTCCCCACTCACACCTACAGTTACCAATACATTTCTGCTCGTTCGAAAAATCCTCGGCAACCCTAAAAGTGGGATTAAAATCTCCAAACGCATCCATCTACCCTATACAATGCAACACACCTCACCTCTTCCTCAAACTCCATTCCGGCGTCCGGCTCAGAGCAGAAAAAGCAAGTCCTGGGAGGGATGACTTAAGGGAAAAACCCTCCCCCTCCAGGCGAGCTCGGACCTTTCCCCCCACACGCCACATCACCCCCAAAGGCACACCCGTATCCGCCTCTCAGGGGCCCTCCGCCACGGGGGCGAAAGAACCCCCCCGCCCCCCCACCAGGGTCCGGAGTCCTCCCCACGGAGCGGCTGGTCCATCGGTCAGCGCCAGGGAGGAGGGCGAGCGGAGGAGGCGGCGGCTGCGGCTCAGACTAGCCCTCCCCCTCCTCCCCTCCTCCCCTCCCCCCGGCCGTCCGCCTCCGAGGAGGGGCAGGAGCCATTTTGGGAGCTCAGTTTCGCCCCCTCCCCCCAACTTACTCTTAAGTCTTCCTCCTAACTTGGTTATCTAAATAAGGGTGCAGACTCTGTGAATCAACCAGAGCCCAGAGTCAGGATCTCCAGAGCATCTCTGGGGCCGTCCCCGCCCCCTTACAAGAGAGTGAAAGGATCTCCCCCACCCGAGAAAACCTGGGCTTTGGTGGGGCGTCCCCTCCCCCGTTTCCCCTTTCTTCGCTACCAGGGAGAAAACAAACTTGTGTACGTATCTGGGAAAAATAATCAACGTAGGTGAACAAATATACGGTAAGATTCCCCCTCGCCCGGGAAGGGCTCGTAAGGGCCTAGGTCCTTGAGCTGCAACCACGCCACCCTCCCTCCTCTGCAGTAGCCCTTCAACTCCAACCTCGGTTACTGCGTCTAAAATGGCCGCCAATCTCCTGTCTTCTGACCCCCCGAGTAGGGCAAACCCCGGGAGGGCGGGGGAAAATGAGCGTCAGGAGAGCAGAGTCCCCTTCCCCCAGCCAGGGATCAGGCCCTGGCCCCCAAAAGTACAAGCGGCCCCGTCTGGGTGGCTGCAGCATGGAGGGCAATGACACAGCAACTTTGCAGAGGCCTTTTCCCCTCCCCCTAGCGGCCCAACCTCCCAAATCTGCTTTTCTCCACCGGGGCTCTGCAGGCCAGGACAGAGGCCCATCAGGGGGCCGGCCATGGAATAAAAACTTAGGAGGCTGAGAAAATACTAGGCCTTAGGAAAAGGGCAGCCAGACATTGCTCTCGTTTATTCCCTGCATTCCGGAAAATCACTGCCTCCCGATCCTCTATCCTCCCTTCCCCCACATGAGTCACCAGGGAGGCTACTGCTACTCAGTAATTTGGGAAAGTAACTCTTTCCTCCTTTCCGTTCCCTCCCCCGCAGTACACAAGGAGAGAACTGTTCAGGACTGGGGGAGGGGATGAGGGAGGCGATGGAAGAGGCCACCCTGGAGAAACCCGAAACCTTGGGAGCTGTGAAATCATTCCAGGTCCCGAGCCTCCCTCGCATCTCAGACCATGCTGTCTAGACCCCCTACTGCCAGCACCCACCTTGGGCCTGGTTTCTGTTCCTAAGCAGACCTCAAGCTTTCAGCTTGTAAGCACCCCAGCCTGGAGTAGACACGTGCTCAGTAAAGACCCTACAGGGGCAAAAGGCCCCACAGGCCGTGTCCACGTGAATGCACACAAATTCGGTAAGCGACTCGAAGCGTAACCTCCAGCCTGCGGTGTGACGACTGGAGCTCCCCTACCGCGGACACAAAGGGCGCACAGCAATGCTCCCTCCAGAGGCTCTGGGGAGAAAGGAAGTTGGCGCCTGGGAACAACCTCAGTTCACAACATGGGTGGCCAACTCCTAAAGCATTCACATCCACGGGTAGGGGCCACAGCCACCACTCCTCAGCCCACCGCCAGGTCACCCCTCCCTCGGCCGCCGATGGATCCCTTCTCACCTGGCTCCCGGCTGCTGTACCCCCAGGGGACGAATGGAATAGGGGGGGCCACACCGCCCCCTAACCCCTTTGCCCTCCAATGGGTACGGAGGCATGAGGCTGGCCATTCCCCTCCCCCCCCATGGCCCTCTCCCGCTCGCCCCCCCTCCACGCTCCCATTGGCTGTAAAAGGTTTGAAGGACAAATCTTCCCACTCTCAGGATTCTTTCCTGAACCCCAAGAATCCCCCTCCCGGACTCCCCACCATTGGTTAAGCACTTGACTGACATCTCCGCCCCACAAGGGCCCCTTCTCACCTGGATCCTAAAGCCTTCCAGGGGGCCTCCAAAGTTGCCCTCGGCTTGGTACGGGGTATGTAATCCGGGGTGTCAACCCCCCCCCAGAAAACGAAGCCGTGCTGGGGGAGGGGGCGTAGCCCCCAGCCCCTCCCTTCCCGAACGGGCTGGGGGGGTGGGGAGAGCATCGGGGCCGCGCGGCCACGTCAGCAGCACCCAGATTGGCTGACCGGGGTCACGTGCCCGCTTCCCCCCCACCCCCCGCCTTTCCCCCAGCCACGAGGACCAGCTTTCCGAACGTTCCTGGGGGTCGCGCCAAGGGGCCAAGGGGGCCGCATGGCCCAGGCCTATGTCCCGAAACCCAGAGCGCTATAACGCTGCTGCTTGTCCATATCCCCAGCTTCCTATCCCGCGGTCCTGGACTCTGTCCCCCCCACTCGCCTCTCCATACGAGTTCAGCATGGCTGCCGCAGACCAGGAACACACACAGCGCAGGCGCAAGGGTGCGCCCTGACTGGGGGAGGGGGAAGGAGGGCCAGAGGCTGCGGGGAGAGCCGTAGTGCGCAGGCGTCCGGACCGGAACCGCATCTCCGGCGGCGGGGCTTGGAGCGCGCGCTTTTCGTGGGGCGGGAGCCCGCGCCCGGGTGCTGACCTCCTGCCTCAGCGCCCCCTCCCCCACTACCCGCGGCCTAGCGGGGTAGCCTCGGGTGGCCAGGCTTGTTTCCTCCTCGGTGGGTGTAAGGTGCGGCTTCGCTGGTCCTGGCCTGAATCCAGCGGAAGCGCACGCTGCTGAGCTGTCAGCGGAGGAAAATGGGGCCTGGACCTGGAGATATGAGGGTCTGGAGAGAGGGGCCCCTTCCCTGGTGTCGTGTGGTGCGACCACTGGAGAGGGAGTTTCTCGCCCTCGTCGCGCCTGCCGCGCGGAGAGATAAGGTGCGGACCGCAGATGTGGACTTCGTATTTGGCTTTAGTCTTAGGCAGCCTTAAAATCTCTCCGTGCCGTGAACCTACGCTAGACTTTTCTTTAGTGAGACCTGTGAGTCCCTGGACCGCTCTACCTTCTACGATATTTACCAGCTGATAACTTTTCCTTCTCTATTTATTTCGTAGTGGACCGTTTAAACCTCTTATACTCTTAAAGTTATGATCTCTCCTCTCCCAAGCTTGAGTGAATTCCCCCCAAAATTTTGGAACTGGTAACATAAAATGTTATGGTGATTCAGTTGCCAGCTAAAAAGTAAGCCTTTAATTTGTCATTAGCCGATAACCTCTCCCTTGATTACCCAGAGTATGGTCCAGATTTTCACGCTGCAGACCCTAATCTCTCCTCACCGACAGATGGCACTTCACAGAACAGAAAGGCCAATTTGCAGAACTGGCTTCCCATTTCCCACCTGCAAACTGGGTCAATTGTGTATTCCTTTCTCATTTCACTAGAGGTCCTCCCTTCGGTTTGAGGAAATCCTTTACTATTGACCTGGTCAACCTTCTCTGTTACCCGGAAGCTGTCTTCCCTTCTCCCCCTTTTGACCTTTTTAAACTTTTCTCTTGGTTTCCCCGCTGACAGAAAGATAACAACCCTCTCAATATCGTGCCCTCTTAGAGACTCATGTCTCTCGGCTTCCTTGCACAGCCAAGACCTGAAATTGAAATTATCCTTACTATCTCAATTCTTTGTCACATTCTCTTTCCCCATCCCCACTCTTCAAGCTACCTCTGTCAGGCTGCTACCACCAAAACTTTTCTGGCAGATGTCACCAAGAACCTCCTAACTGGCAAAGTCAGGAAGCACTTTACAGTTCTCACTTTATTTGACCTCTGAGGCATTCGACATTTGATCATGTTTCCTTCCTGACATTCTCTCTACCCTTGACTTCTATACCACTCTCACTTGTTTCTTTTCCTATTTGTGTAACTGTTCCTCTCCAGTCTCAGTAGATTTTTCTTCCTTAGCCCCTTTTTATGTGTTGATATTTGCTGTGATTCTTGTTTGCTTCTAATTTTGTTCAACTTCTCTAGGTAATCTGACTCCATGGCTCAAAGCCTCTGAAGTCTGAATCTTTAGTTCAGACAGCTCTCTAAGCTAAACTTTCTACTAAATATTCCCACTGGGATAACTCTCAGACACCAGTATGTTCAAAATTGATGAAATCACTATACACTCTAGACCTGCTCTTTCTCTTCTGTTGTCCTGAGTAATGGTGGCTGTTTAACCACAAAGTCTGTAATCTGGGAGCCTGTTCTTGATTTCCTTTTCTCACACCCTTACAGACTCATAATTTTGCCTCTTAACTATCCATCAACTCACCCTTCTGTCCTAATTCTATCACCTGAGCTATACCAACAGTCTCCTAAATTATTTGCTAGACACATGGCTATTTGGATTTAAATTAATACAATTTTAAATTTAGTGTCTCAATACACTAGCCACATTTTAAGTTCTCAGTAGCCACATGTGACTAGTGGCTGTCATATGGGAAAGCACAGATTATTGAACATTTGTGTCATTGCAAGAAGTTGTTTTTTTCTTTCCCTGATACGGAGTCTTGCTCTGTGGCCTAGGATGGAGTGCAGTGGCGCAGTCTTGGCTTACTGCAACCTCTGCCTCCCGGGTTCAAGCAATTCTGCCTCAGCCTCCCGAGTAGCTGGGATTACAGGCGCCTGCCACCACACCCGGCTAGTGTCTGTATTTTTAGTAGACACGGGGTTTCACCATGTTGGCCAAATTAGTCTCGAATTCCTGACCTCGTGATCCGCCCGCCTCAGCCTCCCAAAGTGCTGGGATTACAGGCGTGAGCCACTGCGCGCGGCCTCATTACAAGAAGTTCTGTTGGACAGTGCTGCTTTAGACTTTCCTCTCTGCCTCTGCCACAATACTGCCAGGAGAGAGCTTTCCAAAATATAGCCCTGGCCATAGCTCTTTTTAAAACTCTGTGTTATTCCTTATTGGCTATGTGATAAAGTCCAAATTCCTATGTTTGCCAAAACAGTCTGCCTAGCTTTCCAGCCTCATGTCTAACCACTTCCTCTTGGGCCCTATATTCCAGCTGTATTGAACTGTTTCCCAGACACATCATTTTGTTTCATGCCTCTGTGTTTTACACATGTGCACTTTCTATATGGAGTAGACTTTTCCCCAATCTATGTACGCCCAAATAACATCTCTGAAAAGCTTAATGTTACTGTTCAAGTTGAGCTAACTGCTCATTCTTTGGTGTCCCTTCCCCTTATGATTTTACTTTCCACAGTGAATGGCATTTATGTGATTACATGTTTCTCTCTAGTACTAGACCTTGATTTTGAGAGCAGGGCCATTATGCATTCTTTTTCTTGCTTTGCTTTTTTTTTTTTTTTTAATATCCCTAGGTCCTAGCACAGTATCTGGCCAATATTAGGTTCTCACAAATTGAGCAAATATGGAGGTGAATTGATGTGTAAGTAAGTATGTGACTTAGGTAAGATTGAAATGTGTATGTTTTATGGGGTGCCATGTATAGGGGAATAATCATAGACAAAATTATTGCCTTCAAACCTGAGACATTAGAATTATGTGAGGAAAGACAGACATAGAACAGCACAGGTTATTGTCACAGAGAGTAGTCTAGTCCAGTCTGGCCAGAACATAAGCTACAAGAAGTAGAGCAGGAGAAGAGAAAATGGGAGGTAAATTTATATTAGAGAACACATTATAGAAGGTTTCCAGTGCTGTTAAGTTTGGAATCAGTGGGGAACCACTGAAATTTTTTGACTAATGACTTGATCAGAATTATGTTGTTAGATAGAAACTCTGTCTTCCAGTGGCTGGCACCGTCCATGTTAATAAACATCAAATTAAAATGTCGGGGTTGGAAGGAGATGTGATTGGTGATACAAAACATTTATTGAGTAGTTAAAATGTGTCAGGTACTGCAATGAGTACATGTAGTAACTCTTTTAATCCTTATAACCCTATAAAGTCAATACTAATATTATCACCCTCAGTTTTCAAATGAAACAACAGAAGCAAAGGACGTCTTAGTCTGTTTTCTGATGCTATCACAGAATACCACAGACTGGGTAATTTATAAACAGTAGTTTATTTGGCTCAGTTCCAGTTGCTTGGAAGTCCAAGAGCATGGCATTGGCATCTGGTGAGAGCCTTGTGCTGCATCATCCCACGGCAGAAAGGCAAACAAGCACATGAGATGGAGAGAGAATAGAGGCCAGAATGTACCCTTTGTTTGTTTGTTTGTTTTGAGGCGGAGTCTCGCTCTGTCGCCCAGACTGGAGTGCAGTAGTGCAATCTTGGCTCACTGCAAGCTCCTCCTCCCGGGTTCACACCATTCTCCTGCCTCAGCCTCCCAAGTAGCTAGGACTACAGGTGCCCGCCACCAAGCCTGGCTAATTTTTTGTATTTTTAGTAGGGACGGGGTTTCACCGTGTTAGCCAGGATGGTCTCCATCTCCTGACCTCATGATCCACCTGCCTCGGCCTCCCAAAGTGCTGGGATTACAGGTGTGAGCCACTGTGCCCGGCCTCAGAATGTCCCCTTTTAAATGGGAACCCATACCTACATTAGTAGCATTAATCCATTCATGAGAGCAGAGCCCTCATGACCTAATTAACTCTTAAAGGTCCCACTTCTTAAAACTGTCAAAATGGCAATTATTTTCAACAAGAGTTTTGGAGGAGAGATTCAAACCATAGCAGGTAATATTTACCTAAGGTCACACCTTTAGTAAGTAGCAGAACTGGGATTTGAACCCAGCTGACTCTGGGTGGCATATTATTCTGTTTACTAGGCACAGCAGGGAGTTTAAGATCCAAGATTGAAGTTAGAGAAAAAAGATTAGGAAAAGCAGATTTGAGAGTCACCTTTGAGGTGATGTTTGAATCAGCCACGAAGGTAGCTGAGGTTTGTAAAAGAGGGGGTATAAAAACAATTTAGGGTGAAGGATTGAGCTTTGGGTTACATCTTCATACAGGAAGCAAGAATAGGAAGTGGAACCAATGGAAGATCTCAAGGAGAAGCAGAGCAACATAATGTGAGGAAGCTAGAACAGGAGATGGTTCCAGGAAGGATGTCATGTTCATTGAATGACTGATTAAATCAGGACTCCTTAAGCTTTTTATGTGCCATTAGCTTTTTTGGCAGTTTGGTGAAGCCTTTGGATCTTGTCTGATAATATTTGTAAATGCATAAAATAAAATATAAACTATAGTTATCAAAATACAGTGGTCCCCCCTTAACTGCAGTTTCAATTTCTGTGATTTCAGTTACCCAAGGTCAACCTGGTCTGAAAATAAGTACAATAAGATACTTTGTGTATGAGACAGAAAGACCATATTCACATAACTTTTATTACAATATAATTGTCCTATTTTGTTGTTAATCTCTTCCTGTGCAAATTTATAAATTAAACTTTATCATAGGTATATCTATGGATAGGAATAAACTGTATAATCACATTTGGTGCTGTGTGGGGGACACTACTATATTCAAAGAAACGTGTGATGATCTAGTAGTATGTGTTTCTGTATTAATACAATACAGTGTTTCTTTACTAATACATTAAAAAGCATGATTTTTTGGCAAGTTTAACAGCTCCCATAATTGTAAGTGATATTTTAAGATGTCTGTAACAACTATAATGTGATATGAAAATATTAATTGATGGTGTTTTCTATTGATGACAGTGTTACAGCTGCTGGCTGGTACTACAAAGATTTATTTTCTACATTCATAAAATTAGATTTCAGTGAGAGTTTTTTGAAAATAAAGTTGACTTTTTTTTATTCCATCCAAGTTTATGGACTTCTGAATTGTTTTTTTTTATTTTTTATTGATACATAATAATTGTACATATTTATGGGGTACATATGATATTTTGATACATGCATACGATGTGTAATGATCAAATCAGGATAATTAGGATATCCATCACCTCAAACATTTATTATTTCCTTCTGTTGGGAGCACTTCAAATCTACTAGCTATTTTGGAATATACAGTAAATTAATGTTAACTGTAGTCACCCAGCTGTGCTATCAAACACTATAGAATTTATTCCTTCAATTTAACTATATTTTTGTAACCATTAATGAATCTCTCTTCATCCCCCCTCCACCCCCTCCCTTTCCCAGTCTCTGGTAACCATCATTCTACCCTCTACCTCCATAAGATCAACTTTTTTAGCTCCCACTTATGAGAACGTGATATTTTTTTTTCTGTGTCTGACTTATTTCATTAACATAATGACTTCCAGTTCCATCCATGTTGCTGGAAATGACAGGATTTCATTCTTTTTTATGGCTGACTAGTATCCATTGTATATATATACACCACATTTTCTTTATCCAGTCACTTGATAGACACTTAGATTGATTCCATGTCTTGGCTACTGTGGGTAGTGCTGAAATAAACATGGGCATGTACACATCTCTTTGATACACTGATTTCCTTTCTTTTGGATATATACCCAGCAGTGGGATTGCTGAATCATCTAGTAGATCTATTTTTAGTTGTTTGAGGAACCTTTATGCTGTTTTCCATAGTGGCTATGTTAATTTACATTTCTACCATCAGTATATGAGCATTCCCCTTTCTTTGCATCCTCACCAGTATCTCTTATCTGTGTCTTTTTGATAATAGCCATTTTAATTAGATTCAGATGATATCTCATTGTGGTTTTGATTTGCATATCCCTGATGGTTAGTAACGTTGAGAATTTTTTCATATGCCTGTTGGCCATTTGTATGTCTTTTGAGAAATGTCTATTCAGATCATTTGCCCATTTTCAAATGGGATTATTTGGAGGATTTTTGCTGTTGAGTTTGAGTTCCTTATATATTCTGGTTATTAATCCCTTATCAGATGGATAGTTTGCACATATTTTTTCCCATTCTGAAGGTTGTCTCTTCACTCTGTTGATTGTTTCCTTTGCTGTGGCAGAAGCCTTTTAGCTTGATGTAATCCCATTTGTGTATTTTTGCTTTCATTGCCTCTCCTTTTGAAGTCTTAAACCAAAAAATGTTTGCTCAAAGTCTTGAGCATTTCCCCAGTATTTTCTTACAGTAACTTTTATAGTTTCAGGTCTTACATTTAAGTTTTTAATCCATTTTGATTTAATTTTTGTATTTGATGAGAGATGGGGGTGTAGTTGTATTTTTCTGCATATTGTTATTCAGTGTTCCCAGCACCATTTAATGAAGAGTGTGTCCTTTTCCCATTGAATATCTTGGTACCTTTGTTGAAAATCAGTTGGCTGTTAAGATGTGGATCTATTATTTCTGGGTCCTTTATTCGGTTCTATTGGTCTGTGTATCTGTTTTTATGCCAGTACCGTGCTCTTTTAGTTACTGTAGCTTTGTAGTATATTTTGAAGTTGGGTGGTATGATGTCTACAGCTTTGTTCTTTTTGTTCAGAATTACCTTGACTATTTGTGTTTTCTGTGGTTCCATATTAATTTTAGGTTTGTTTTTTCTGTTTCTGCAAGGAATATCTTTGTATTTTGATAGGAATTGCAACAAATCTGTAGATTGCTTTTGGTAGTACAGTCATTTTCACGATACGAATTCTTCCGAAGACATAGGATGTCTTTCTATTTTTTTGTGACCTCTTCAGTTTTTTTCCTCAGTGTCTCATAGTTTTCCTTGTAGAGATCTTTCACCTCCTTGGTTTATTCTAGGTATTCTATTTTGTTTTTTTGGTGGGGGGAGGGGTTGTAGCTATTGTAAATGGGATTACTTTCTTTGATTTCTTTTCCCACTAGTTTACTGTTTGTATCCAGAAGCACCATTAATTTTTATATGATAATTTTGTATCCTGCAACTGTACTGAATTTATCAATTCTAAGAGATTTTGTGTGTGTGTGTGTGTGGACCTTTTAGTTTATAAATTTGTATGTTTTCTTGTTTAATGTCTCTTTATTTTCATTAGACTTTAAGTGTGATGATGGCAGGTATCTGATACAGAGCATACTGCTAGACACAGAAGGTGGCCAATAAATATTTGCTAAATAAATGAACCTTTCTGAGTCCCAGTTTTCTTGTTTATATAATGGGGATAATAAATTATAACCTTGTAGAGTAGTTGTAAGGATTGCTGCATCATAGTAATGTCACTAAAAGGGAGGATGAATATGGGTATGGAGAAATGTACTGAGGTAGAAATAAGAGTAAATGTGGGAGCTGGATGGCTAGGTTTGCTCTCTGAAACAGGAGGTGGCAGGGAGTAGGAAGAAAATGGTAGTTGGCAAGGAGCTTGGGAAGGGCCTAGAATGGAATTGGAAGGGTAGTAGAGTATATAGGGAAGGCTGTGGAGGTGTAAAATGGCTCATAGAGACTGGGTGTGGTTGCTCATGCCTGTAATCAAAGCACTTAGGGAGGCCGAGCCAGGTGGATCACGAGGTCAGGAGATCAAGATTATCCTGGCTAACACAGTGAAACCCCATCTCTACTAAAAATACAAAAAAAAAAAAAAAAATTAGCCGGGTATGGTGGCACGTGCCCGTAGTCCCAGATACTCCAGAGGCTGAGGCAGGAGAATCACTTGAACCTGGGAGGCGGAGGTTGCAGTGAGCGGACACCGTACCACTGCACTCCAGCCTTGGCAACAGAGTGAAACTCCATCTCAAAAAAAAAAAAAAAAGAATGGCTTATAGATAAACCTGATAAGATTTACCTTTGAAACATCTGTTAGAAGGGACAATCCATCATCATCTAATACCTGAAGGCTCTTCCATTCTCAGTTCAGCACCTTCAGAGACTGGTAGCCCATTTGTTCATCGAGTGAAAGGTCACTTAGTGGGCCTCTTGGTGGAGATATATATATATATAGTACACCCTCCCCTAAGGACCTTGCAGTAGAGATGAGGTGACTATGAAACAGACATATAAATGGAAGAGAATAATACAATTAAAACAGTGATAATGGCCAACACAGGGTGCTTTGGAAACGTACTGAAGAGGCTATTAATCTCAACTCTGGGTTCAAGGAAGGCTTCCTGAGAGGAGTGAGATTTCACCTGAAAAGACATATAGAAGTAGGTAAGTAGACTTCAGGTCATTATGGGTCATGACAAGGAAAGTAGATCATTAACAATCATGGAAGGTTTTCATGCAGAAGTATAATATGATCAACTAAGCATAATAAAAATATCCTTCTGGCAGCACTGTGGAAAATAATAAGATTGGAGAGAGAGAGACCAATTATAAAGAAAGTTGCAATAATCAGTGAAAACCAACCATTGAAGGCCTGGACCAGTAGGAATGGAAGGAAAAGAAAGGAAGATTCAAGAGCTATTAGAAAGGTAGAATTGTTAGGACAATTGAATGGGAAGGTTTGAGGAAGATGGGGTCATCAACGATGACCCACATTTGTAGCTCGGGTGGACATCTTGTTATTCACTGAAGTCTTAAATATAAGAGAGGAGTTGGAATATATTGGGAAGGGAAAGTGATGAGTGTACTCTTGTAATCTTGAGATGGAGATACATTCAGAGTAACAATTGCTAACTTTATTTGCCTATGGAATACCTAATTAGAATTCATTATTGAACCATCAATAGCTTATGAAACATAAAATAGAAAACTCACCAATTTTTTTAAACTAATGGCACGGTTTGAAAATTATAAGACACTGCTTTTCATTTAAAACTTCATTCTCTTACACATTTTTGAGATAACTAGGAGAAATGAACAGATTGGGTCAAATGAAGTTAAGTAATTTTTAATTTTGTTGGTTGTGGTGATGGCATTATAGTTATGTTAAGGGAAAGGTTATTATCTATTATAGATATGCCTAAAAGTATTTACTGGTGAAATGTAATGACAGAATTTGTTTAAAATACTCCAAAAAATGCAGAACAATAGATGAAACAAGAATGGAAGAATGTTAAATGTTGAAAATTGTTGACATTCATGAGAGTACATTGGAGTTTATTAGATTCTTCTCTTCTGTGTGTGCTTGGAGCTTTTCAAAGTAAAATTAAAAAAACCTTTTTAGTCAGAGATTCAAAGGAAATTCGTGGAATATATAATTTTAAATTAATAAATCAATATTGAATCACATGATAAATGTAATTTGAATATGTGATAAGACAAGTGACCGACCAGAGATCATCAAGCAGATGACATATGTCACCTGAGTAGTTAGGAAATGCTGTTTGAGCATTAATACACAGATTTAACCTTATGTTTATGCCTCAGATGATCTCATACAATTGTCTGAGATGCCATATGTTGAAAATAGCTGTATTGAGGTGGTTACTTTTCATATGATTCTCCCTTCTCTAGGAATAGCTCTAATCCATAGAGGTAATACTGTACCTGGCCACAACCAATGAATCCAGTGGTACACACCTAATACAAGCTGAGCCAGTGAGAGAGGCTCTCCCAGCAAAGCAAAACTTGAAAGATAAAGAGGCAGGAGGCCTTTGCAGGTGAGCATATTAATGGCAACTCAACCCCTGCTTCTAAGGTCCCTGTGGCTATTCTACCTGAGGCTAGCTTATTCAACTATTACTTTCATTTCATGAGTTAGATCAGTATCTTTCCAATAAATCCTCATTTTTAAAATGTAAGTTAGCCAGAATTGGTTTCTATTGCTTGCAATAAATAGACTTATTAAATATAATAAATTGTTACATAATAAAAAATATTATATAAATGTGTTTGATGTTGCATTATGTCTATGTGGAAATAAATTCAAAAATAAATGATTGCTATCATCAAACTTACTTTTTTTATTTCTTGAGGAACGCTATTGTGAAGAATACAGTTTAAGAACATGCAAATTCATGAAGCGTTCCATATTTAAAAAAAAAACAAAAACAAAAAACTGCTATTGCATAGCATCCAAGTGGATTTGACCAGAAGTGGTTCAGATATGGGTAGTGTGGAACTCAGAGCAAGATCTGAGCTGAAGAGGTAAGCTTGGAAGACATTAGCAAATGGGTGGTAACAGAAGGCATGTGGGAGTAAATGAGAGGACCATCCAGGGCAAGTGTATAGTCTAAGAAGAGTAAAGGTTGAGGACAAAACTCCAGGGAACACCAATACTTAAAGGGTTGCTGAAAGAAAGGAGTCCCAAAGGGACTGAAAAGGGGACGCCAGAAAAGTAGGAGGGAAAACTAGGAGAGAGTGCCATCAGGGATGCCAGAAATTTGACCAATTTAGGAGATGGGGTATGGCCAACAGTGTCAGATGTTGCAGAGACTAGTTCATTTGATTTGGCAACACAAAAGTATTGGTGAACAATTGCATTGTTGAGAGTTAAAAGATTAAATGGCAAGAATGGGAGCGGGGCCACAGTTGCCCATGACTTTTCCAAGAAATCTGACTCTGCTAGGGGAAAAAAAATAGAGTCCTTTTTATATATTTATTTATTTATTTTTTGAGATGGAGTCTTGCTCTGTCACCCAGGCTGGAGTGCAATGGCACAATCTCAGCTCACTGCAACCTCCACCTCCCGAATTCAAGTGATTCTCCTGCCTCAGCCTCCTGAGTAGCTTGGATTACAGGCACCCGCCATCACGCCTGGCTAATTTTTTTTTTTTTTTGTATTTTTAGTAGAGATGGGATTTCACCATTAACCAGGATGGCCTTGATCTCCTGACCTCGTGATCCACCCCCCTCGGCCTCCCAAAGTGCTGGGATTACAGGCGTGAATCACTGCGCCTGGCCAAATAGAGTCCATTTTTAAATGCTAGAAAGGGATGGCAGAGCTGAGTGTTAGAAAGCCAGAGCCTCCTGGATTTACCGGTGCTGTGCCATTATTTTCAGAGGCATTCATAGCTAATGACAAAGTAGACAGTGAACTACTGCAAAGCAGAACTGGCTGCCTTGCTCATCTCTTGCCCACAATTATTACTTTCCAAACTGATGAGAGACTATTCCTGAGATACTTATGATGGAGGTAGTTGGGAGGTCCTGGTGGGGAAGGATTACATGGAGGGAAGAGTAGTTATAAGTGTTTGAACTTGTTACCATTTAAACTGAGATTATAGAAGGGGAGAATGGAGTTAACCACCCCTCACCACAGTCTTGGTGAGGGATGGTTATGTTTGTCCTCACCTTGGTCTTGTCTACACTGTGCTCCCTATGGAGAACTTGGACCCCTCTGCCTTGTTCCTCTCACCCAGAGAAATTGCAGTGTCTGCTGTACCTATTCCTATGCCCTTCCACCCAGTCTAGTTTCTCCTGTTCTTCCCCAGATCTCCTTCCAAATAGACTGGTGTAACTGGCACAAAGTGTTTGTTAACTGATTGCCAATCCAATAATAAGGGGACTGAGGTTCTTCTTTGAAGGGTGGGTTTAATTTGGGGCTTTCGTACCAATTCTGACCACGTGTAGAGCATCATTCAGCACACTATGGGCTGTGAGCACAATCTTGCCTACCACCTGTTTTTAAATGGCCTAAAAGCTAAGAATGGTCTTCACATTTTTAAATGGTTAGGGAAAAAAAAAAGCAAATGAAGAATATTTCGTGACACATGAAAATTACATGAAATTTGAATTTTAGTGTCCATAAATAAAAAGAGGGTTGAGGACAAAAACTCCAGGGAACACCAGTATTTAAAGAGTAGCTGAAAGGAAGGAGTCTATGAAGGAGACTGAGAAGGAGATGCTCAAGAAGTGGGAGGAAAAGCTAGGAGGAAACTAGGAACACAGCCACTCTCCTTCATTTACATATTGTGCATGGAGGCTTTCGTGCCACAGTTGAGTACTCATGACAGAGATCTGATAGCCCACAATGTCTAAAATATTTGCCATCTGGCCCTTTACAGAAAAAGTTTGCTAACCCCTGGTTTAGGACTCTAGGTGGCTGTGTCCCATATGTCTCCCCACTGGTAGTCTCATAAACTTCTTTTCTACTGTCCAGGGGCCTGCATCTTCCCACTGCCAGAACCGCTGATGGGTTAGTGCATAAATGTTGGGATACTGGGAAATGTTCTTTTGTTTTCTGGAGGGTTACCATGATTTCCAAACCCTAGTCCTTCCCTGGCACCCTGCCTCCACCACACAGACACACACACATATATACACATTGCTGTTCCAGAATATCTAGGAGGTCATAGAGTTGTTTTTGTTTTTGGCTATTACTGCTGCTATTACTTGTTTATCAAAAGAGGATATGAAGCCAGGCACAGTGGCATGTGCCTATAGTCCCCAGCTACTGAGGCGGGAGGATCGCTTGAACTCGGGGGTTCAAGACTGGAGTGAGTTATGATTGCACCTGTAAGTAGCCACTGCACTCCAGTCTGGGCAACAGGGGAAACTTTGTCTTAAAAAAAAAAAAAAAAAAGGTGGAAGGTATGAATTTTGAAAGCCTCAGAAACACTGTTGGACAATATTCACATATATTAATTTCTCAGATTACTTGATTGCCACATTAGAGCTTTCTCACTGCCTCTTCCCCCACCCCTTCTGTCTTTCTCTTTCTTTTGTCTAACAAACTTGAAGCATGTACACTGACAGTTTCTTCCTCACCTCCCACTTACTTCTCAGCCCACCACAATCTGGAGTTGACTCCCACTACAACACTGAAACTGCTCTCAATAAATTTGTCAGCCATCTCATAATCACCAAATCTAAGGACACTTTTCAATCCTTTCTTGACTTTTGAGTAGCATTTAAAAATGCTGACCTTGCCCTCCTTCATGGCACACCTCTTTTTTATTTCTCTGATCTGCTTCTACCTTGGTCTTTTCTTAGTGCTCTGGATGGTCCTCGTGCCACCAGATTCTTACAAACCAGGGTATTTCAGTGTACTCGTTATTATCTTTGTCTCAGTGACACACACACCCTCCTCTACTGTGTTTTGAACTGCTTAGCTTAGGAGTCAGCCAGGTGTGTATTTCCCAGCCTTCCTGGACATCTGGCTTCCTTTTTGATTCTGCCAGTAGGAGGCACTGATGGGAGATCAGAAGGCAAGAGAAACTGAGAAGCATCCTGCTTCAGCCTCTAAACAGTGTCGGTGGCTGGCAATAGCTGGTAGCTATTGGCTGTAGCTGTAGCAGCAGGAAGAATGGGAGACTCAGGACTCCAGCCTCCTGAGCAGAAGTACCTTCTCAAGGATTCTAGCCTTGAAGGAGGTGGCACCTTTCTAGTAGATTGGAACTGACTATGACAGTGTCTCTCACAAGGCAATGAGTAGATTTACAGATTCCAGCTCAGGGATGATGGCAGCTTCTGATTTCCAGATAGCAATCTTTTTTTAAAATGTACATTTCTAGGACTCTCCTTTTTTTTTTTTTTTTGTACTTCTTGCCCTTTTAACACCTTTGTAACCAATTCTCTATATTAAATTCTTTCAGTCTGAAGCACATAAAGTAGTTAAATGCTCCTGACTGGATCCTGGATAACTGGTATGAGGTTTGGGGTTTGAGCCCATGCATGCTTTTGTCCTTGTTTCACTTCCCACTCCTTCTGCACAGTTTACTTGGGTGATCTTATTCATGGCCTCTGCTTCGACATTTGTGCTGATGACTCTCAAATCAGGGTCTTCAGACCATACCTGGGGTCCATACCCACACGCCTCACTGCGCTCCCATGCAGTTTCAGCTGGCTGTTCCACTGGCATTTCAAATTCAACATGTACAAAATCAAGCTCTTTCTCTCTGTAAACCTGCTCCCATGGCATTCTTTTCTGCTTCAATTCAGTCCATCCCTGACCACCCACCCAGCCACCCATGCTGGAAATCTGAGATATCTTTGACTCCTCCACCTTCCCACTCCCACAGCTAATCAGTAGCCAAACCCTTTAGATTCTACTTCCTAATTATCTTGATATTCTATCTCCTCCGCCTCCTCTTATTATGACTTAATTCAGGCTCTTATTATCTGTCATTTAAATTATTGCTGTATTGCTACAGGAGTGGTGTGTATATGTGCAACTGTTCATCTTGGTATGCTATAGACTCTTGCCCAGCAGTTTTGCCTCAATTCTTTAAAAGCTCCAGTTCATTGTTTGAAATATCAATCAGAACATTTTTTCCAAAATGCTAAAATGATTGTCATTCCCCAGTTTTAATATCTCTATCATCTGCTAAGTAAAAGCAAGCTCCTCCTTGTGGCGTAGCAGGGCCCACGTGATCTGGCCCTTGCCCGAATTTGTAGCTTATCACAACATCCTTCTACCCCCCATTACCTCCTATTATACAGGAACACCCAAGCGACCTTCACAACATTCATATCAACTAGTACACAGGGTCTCCAAAGAGGACCTCTGGATGCCTGTGATCTTTGTACTTCTGCCTACCCTTTGCCCTGGCGTGTTTTTCTCTTCCTTCATGTTCTGCTGGCCAAATTGTTTTTCCTTCAAGTCTTAGGAGCCTGCCTGATTATGTTCCTCCTATTCCGCATCCTCATAAAATTACTGCGACTTCCAAAACACTTGGCACATTCTTATTTGAATACATTACATTGTTGTGTAATTATCCCTTGGCCCCCTCCCCCAGCACTAGACTCTAAGCTCTTTGAAGGCAGACTATGCCTATTCATCTTTGTATTTCTAGCCCTGGGCCCAACACCCAGAATTTCTTGTATTTTCAATATATGTCTGCCAAATGAATTAGAGCTAATGCCTGAAGGAGAATAAGTTTTTTTGAGAAAGAGGAAGAGCCAGGAGGGAGGAGAAGGCAGGGTCCGAAGAGCCCTGGGGGTTTACTTGGGGAAGATGCGGTTCCCCATTGCAGCATTCTGCCAGGAGGTGGCACTGCTCTGAAGAGCCAGCTGGTCGCTTACAGACTGAGGCTGACAGCTTGAAACCAAAGAGGGAACTCCACCAGGAAGCAACATTCCTCCACTGGGCTTCCCAGCCCAGTTACATGCCATACTCTGCCCTGGTCAAACAGCCAAGTCTTCAGGAGGTTACTGGCCCCAGGCGTCTCCCCAGTGACTGATGATGTTAAACCCTACGCTTCTCTGATTGGTTTAGACAAAATGACAAGGGCACCTATTGGAAATGATCTGGCAAAACATGATCTAAGGCCACCCTCTCGGGGAGGGAGTTGGGGAAGCTGGGTTGGCTGGGTTGGTAGCTCCTACCTACTGTGTGGCAAGAAGGTATGGGTCATGAACAGAACCAAGGAGCTGCGCTGCTACAGATGTTACCACTTCTGTGGCTGCTACCCCACTCCTGGGCCGTCCCTGAAGGTAAGATGGTACTCCTATTTACTTCCATCCTGAACCTAGGGAGCCCACTCAGCTTTGTGAGGAAAAGCGCTGTGCTTTGTGAGTGGTGGGAAGTCTTATGAGGCAGTGGAAACAACAGGGGAGTGGGGAAAGACAGCTGCTATGTGTGGTTGGTAAACGATATCAGTGATGCTTTGCATGTTCCATTTAAGACAATCTCTTGAAGCGGAGATTGTTCTCTCCATTTTACAAATGAAGAAAATGAGACTCAGAGTTATTTGTGCAAGTTCACACCATTGGAAAGTGGTAGAGCTGGGATTTGAACAAAGTGAATGTTATTTTCACTCCTCCACTCAAGATTCTACTCTGCTTTCTATCATTAACTTATCTTGTGATTCTTGAAAAGTGTCTTAGTTTCCTTCTCTGTAGAGGATGGGGCAGAATGGAAGAATAATCTGGAAGATCCCTCTTCCTCCAAATGTCTGTTTTTCTGGGTATTGGGTTAAAGGTTTCCTGCTGGCTGAGCGATTCCTGCCAAGAGCTTCAAAGAAGAGGGATTATTTTATGCAGTTATGGGGTCACTTCTCCCATTGCTGTCTTTGGGAGGCCTGGTAGGTTAAGGAACAGAAGACATTTTGAGAGACGCTTGGTGCCAATGAAGTGGCTGAAGAAATGTCTGGATACAGGTTTTCCAATTTACCATTTGTGTCTGGGGATAGTGGGAGGCAGTCCCATCTATGGCTTGGGGAGGCTGTAGCCATTCCTCCTCTTTCCCTTCTAAGAGTGAGAAACCCATCCATGGCCTTCTCTAGTCAATACAGTGGCCTGGTATGAATTAGACAAAGGAATCCCCTTTGGGAGGATACAGCCCTATGCCAGGATGTATGGCATGGTGAGCAGAATGCAGGCTTTCACTTGCTTCTTTGGCTAGGTGTCTTTGTGCAGCCCCCAAACACACAATGAACAGTGACTCTGAATCTGTCACTTTATTTTATATATATACATTTTTAAATTTTTTATTTGATTTAATTTATTTTTTTTGACACGGCATCTCGCTCTGTCACCCAGGCTAGAGTGCAGTGACGTGATCTCGGCTCCCTGCAACCCCTGCCTCTGGGGTTCAAGAGACTCTCCTGCCTCAGCCTCCCAAGTAGCTGGGATTACAGGCGCATGCCACCACACCCAGCTGATTTTTGTATTTTTAGTAGAGATGGGGTTTCATCATGTTTGCCAGGCTGGTCTCAAACTCCTGACCTCAGGTGATCCACCCGCCTTGGCCTCCCAAAGTGCTGGGATTACAAGCTTGAGCCACCGCGCCCGGCCTTTATATATATATTTTTTGAGACGGGCTCATTCTGTCACCTGGGCTGGAGTCCAGTGGCACAATCATGGCTCACTGCAGCCCCAACTTCCTAGGCACAAGCAATCCTCCTGCCTCAGCCTCCAGAGTAGCTGAGACCACAGGTGTTTGCCACCACACCTGGCTAAGTTTTTGTATTTTTTGTAGAGACAGGGTCTCGCTGTGTTGCCCAGGTTGGTCTTGAACTCCTGGGCTCAAGCAATCTGCCTGCCTCAGCCTCCCAAAGTGCTGGGATTACAGGCATGAGCCACCATGCCTGGCCTGAATCTGTCACTTTAGAAAGTAGAACTCTTTACTTTTGCCAACTGGCCTTTTTATAGGCAGGGGAAGCTTGGAGAGATGCCATAATTTGTTCTTCACCCCCTTTGGGAGGGGGAGTCTAAATAACAGACACAGGAAAGGGTCTCACCTCAGCCCACGCTCCTTAAGCAGGCCTTGCTTGTTTTTGTTGTTTTGTTTTGAGACAGAGTCTCACTCTGTCACCCAGGCTGGAGTGCAGTGGCTTAATCTTAGCTCCCGGCAACCTCTGCCTCCCTGGTTCAAGCAATTCTCCTCCCTCAGCCTCCCGAGTAGCTACAGGCGCATGCCAACATGCCCAGCTACTTTTTTGTATTTTTAGTAGAGATGGAGTTTCACCATGCTGGCCAGGCTGGTCTCAAACTCCTGACCTCATGATCCACCCACCTTGGCCTCCCAAAGTGCTGGGATTACAGGCATGAGCCACTGCGCCTAGCCCCACCTTGCTGTTTTTTAAGTTGGAGGAGAAGGCTCCCACCTCCCTGAACCTCACCCTGTGTCCTTTGCAGCTCCTACTCCAATGTGGCCAGATGACCTGCAAAACCACACATTCCTGCACACAGTGTACTGCCAGGATGGGAGTCCCAGTGTGGGACTCTCTGAGGCCTACGACGAGGACCAGCTTTTCTTCTTCGACTTTTCCCAGAACACTCGGGTGCCTCGCCTGCCCGAATTTGCTGACTGGGCTCAGGAACAGGGAGATGCTCCTGCCATTTTATTTGACAAAGAGTTCTGCGAGTGGATGATCCAGCAAATAGGGCCAAAACTTGATGGGAAAATCCCGGTGTCCAGAGGTCAGGAGTTTTCTGGGGAGTGAAGGGAGGAGGGCTGCATTAACCTCATTGATCTGTACACTGAATAATTCCCCTTGATACCAGCTCCCCATCTCAAATACTTTCTGGTTCTCTTCATCACCTTAATTTTTCCACCAGCCTTGGTCTGCACCCTGTGTTCTTTTGGTGGGCCGAAGTACCTAGCATGTAGTAGGCATTCAGAACTATGTATTGAATGTGATGAATTCAACAGGTACCAACTGATACCTACTGAATATTAACACTTGTGCTACTATGCCCAGCAAGATGGATGGGAAGAGTGGAAATATCTGATGACGTGACTATGTCTTAGTGAGAAGACAGTGCATGGTTAGACATCAATGTGAGCTCTAGACAGGAAGTGCTGAAGGAAGTCATGGTGGAGGGGTCCAGAGTAGCCTGGATCTGGCTCTGCTTCTACGTCTAGCTGCAGTCCTTGCCTGGAAGAAGACCTCCCTTCAGAGCCCAGCTCCTCGCTCATCTCTGTCTCCCAAAGCCTGACCCACTGTGTTCTTCTCTGCCCTCCCCTCCATATGCCATGGCCCCTCCAAACACAGAGATACCATCTAAACTAGTCTCTTTTTCCCCCTACACTTCAATCCCCCCACCAGGGTTTCCTATCGCTGAAGTGTTCACGCTGAAGCCCCTGGAGTTTGGCAAGCCCAACACTTTGGTCTGTTTTGTCAGTAATCTCTTCCCACCCATGCTGACAGTGAACTGGCAGCATCATTCCGTCCCTGTGGAAGGATTTGGGCCTACTTTTGTCTCAGCTGTCGATGGACTCAGCTTCCAGGCCTTTTCTTACTTAAACTTCACACCAGAACCTTCTGACATTTTCTCCTGCATTGTGACTCACGAAATTGACCGCTACACAGCAATTGCCTATTGGGGTGAGGCTTTCTCCCTGGAATTCTGGTCCTTTTGGGGGCAAAAAGGGATAGATCCATGGGAGGAGGCTTCTTTCTCCACTGGTACCTTGTTTAGTCCATTCCTACCCTAAGCCCATCCCAGTCTCCCATGTCATCCCAGACACCCACGTCATTTCCCTGGGTGGGAGGCTCCCTAACTAGGTCCCCAGGCTGAGCCACTCATTTCCTCCAGTACCCCGGAACGCACTGCCCTCAGATCTGCTGGAGAATGTGCTGTGTGGCGTGGCCTTTGGCCTGGGTGTGCTGGGCATCATCGTGGGCATTGTTCTCATCATCTACTTCCGGAAGCCTTGCTCAGGTGGTATGTCATCTGGAGGGGGCGGGTGAGCCTGTGGGAGCCAGATACAGTGGTGCATGCGTGCATGTGTCAGGATTATTTTGTGGCATGGGGGGACATATAGCGATCCTCAGGCCCTTGGGTGTGGGGGCCTGTATCCAGCACCATGGGGGCACATCTTCCCAGTTGGGGACCCAGTTACACACACACAGTTATGGGTCACAAGAATTGCTTTGAGTGAAAAAAGGAATCATGGGGTGCTGTAGGAAGGGTGCTTGGAGATGATTTGGGAACAAGGAGAGATCAACTTCTGCAGGGTGTGGTGCAGGCAGGGCGAGCAAGGCCTTTGTGGGGGAGGAGGAGGAGGAGAAGGAGGAGGAGGATGGATCCCCTGATGCCTTTCCTCCATCCCTGTCTCTCCCCCAGACTGATTCTTCCAGACCAGAGTTTGATGCCAGCAGCTTCGGCCATCCAAACAGAGGATGCTCAGATTTCTCACATCCTGCCCAGGATCTCCTCTTAGGGTAGAAGAAGTCTCTGGGACATCCCTGGGGTGTGTGTGTAGATTTCCCACCTGGGGACTCTGCTGTCCCTGGGCTTGCATCCCAGGGATCCCAGAGTGGCCTGCCTATCACAACCACATCCCTTCCCCCCACAAGGCAATAAATCTCATTTCTTTATATCAGTGTGGCTTCTTTCTTAACTCATGGTATTTGTTTCTGGATATCTCAACTTGAGTGGGTTGTCGTTTCAAATTCAGCATGCCTTAACCTGAACACAGCTTGACCTCGTTAGGGAGGGAAATAGGGAAAACCCCTAATTTGCCAGCTGAGCTCTTATTCCCTGGTCTTGGCGGTACATGATGTTTTTCCATCTATCGGTTTGTGCAAAATATGTGAGAAACGAAGGCAGAGTTATTTTCTAATAATCTGCTTACAAAATGGTTAAGGAAGCTGCTTGTGTGTTTTGTGCGTGTGTGTGTGTGTTGTGTATTTTACTGTTTGTGAAAATGTTTATGTCTCGTATAGGCTGCCCTGAGGAACATATAACTCCCTTCAACCCTCACCGTAACTGAGAAACAGAAGCTCAGGGATGGGAAGAATAAGCTCCCAAGTGCTATACCAATCAGTTATGTCAGTTCTGGGAAAACAGTATCATGAAGCCCCTAACATGAAGTGAAAACAGCCTGGAAGGGCAAAGAATTCACATGTCTTTCCTGACAATCTGTTCCTTGGCCTGAGTGAACTGTCCAAGGAGAACTGCACAGGTGCTGTCCTGGGAAGATAACGAAAGGTGGCAGCACATGACCACTGGTGGTAAATTGCTTTGCATATGCTTTCTTTCTTGCATTCCTTAGGGTCTGGGAGTTGCTTTGGATGACAGGGTGGCAATAAAGTTGAGAGGGCAATTATTTGGTGAGGGAGTTTCTGTTCTTGGCATTGTACTAGAGTCTAATCTAAAAGAAAATATTAAATTCTCCCTAAGAGAAGTTGCACTGTCTCTGAACCATCTCATTTCTAACAGCATCATGTGTACCGGTTAAGAAGCATGGGCTCTGGAACCTGACTGCTGGGGATTCAATCGTAACTGTCAGCGTTTAGCTGTGAGCCCTTGGGCAAGTTACTTAACTTGTGCTTTGGTGTCATTTTCTGTAAAAGGATGATGATAACAATGGTGTCCCCCTTACCACTCTACACCCACCATGTTGCCAACATTTGAAAGTCAAATAAGTATTAGCGAGGATAAAGGAAAATGTGAACTGTAATATCTTGGTCTGTTGGTGGGAATGTAAACTGTTTATGATGCCCGAATTACAGAAATTATGAACTAGTTGAGTGAAAAAGTTAATATAGGAAATAAGGCAGCATATCCTCATGCTGTGAAGCTTAAATAAGTTAATACCTACAGAATGCTTAAAATAGTGTTTGGCACATAGAAAATGTGCTGAATAACCTAACCTTATCATTATTGGTCTTGATCTTCAGAGGAGAACTTAGTTGCCTCGTAGACTTCTTTCTCTTTTCTGAAATATACCTCAATACTAGCTTCAAGTATTGTATTTTCTCCATTTTAGATGTTTTTCTTTTTATTCTCATGTTAGTAATTCTAGATGTGGTGCTTTCTAGTTCTTCCTAATTTCTCTGTCTCTCTGTTTTCCAACTTATCTAGATATTTCCTGTCAGGCAAGACTTAAAAGTGCTTTATTATGCTGTGTGACTTTAGACAAGTCACTTCCCCTCTCTGGGCCTCAAAGTCTTCATCTGTAAAATGATGGGCTTAGATTAGATGCTCTCTGATGAAACCTTCTATGATACTGTTACTTAAGTACTCTAGAAGCACTCAGTATCCTCTCTAGTCTGGTGCCCCTTTTCTAATAAAAAATATTACTCACTATTCCCAGCAGGAATGCTATTCTTGAATAAATCTTTTTTCCTCACTCTTCCTTGAGGTATTATATCTGGTTTTGGTTTAGGGCATTTGCCCAGGCTCTTTCCTCTCACAAGAATGCTTTCTTTATTCTGCTCATCTTGTTCCTGTCTTAACCCACTCCATAGGTCCAACTCCAGTTCAACTTATTCCATGAACCTGCCCCTAATTTCTCTTTATTGAAATCTTCCAAGACTTAAAGCACTCAACCTAAGGATTGGGATATGCCGCTTTATTTCCTATGTTAATTTTTTCGCCCAACTAGTTTATAATTTCTATAATTCAGGGATCATAAACAGTTTACACTCCCATCAACAGAGCAAGATAGTTCACATTTCCCTTTATGCTCATTAATGCTTGTAATTATTTGACTTTCAAATGTTGGCAACATGGTGGGTGTAGAGTGGTATTTTGTTGTTTTAATTTGCTTTTCTCTCATTACTAATCAGTATCATATTGTTTGATTATTTTGGCTTTTTAATATGTGTTACTATTTAGTAGAACTAGTCTCCATTCCTTCACCACCTTCCCAAAAAATTTATTTTCCTTTTCTTTATCAAAATATTCTAAGATACTCTTGGACTTTATTTCCATGTACATTCTATAATCAGTTTGTTAAATTCTCCTGAAATCCTACTGTTACTTTAATTGGGGTAGCATTTAGGTTAGAGATGTGGGGAGAGGTTGTCATTATGTTAGCATGGCCTATCCATGAATATGGTATATCTCTACACCTCTCAGGTCTTTGTGCACTTCAATAAAGTTTTCTTTTTTCTTAAAATTCTTATATTTGATATGTTAATTCATAAATATGCTATGGTTTTTATTGTTATTATAAATAGTAGGCAATTTTCAGTTATTTTCCAATTGATTATTGGCAATACAGGATTTAAAGTAATAAATCCTGAGTTCAAGTAATGGTTTTATTACTTAGTATCTGGGTAAATCTGGGCAACCACTTAACCTCCCTCTGCCTCCATTTTCTCGTGGGTAAGATGAAGATAGCATTCTTCAATAGTTGTGGTGGCAAAAAATAAAATTAAAAAAGGAAAAATAGTTGTGGCAAATCAGATAGACTATCCCTAGTAGTTCAAATAATTTGACTGTAGGTTGGAAGGATGGTGAACTGACTACAGAAACTATAATCCAAAGGTCAGGGTCTAGAGCAGTGAATCCTGACAGGGTAGGAGGGTGTGTGTGTGGGCGGAGGTGAGGTAAGGGGTAGATGGCAGGGGTGGGGTGGGGATTGGACAGATTGGGCAAGTAATATAATCTTGGCAGGATGTAGGTGTGTGTAGTTTTGAAAAGACACTGAAGTCACGAATGTGGTCTTATGCTATGAGGCGTGATTAACTGGTTGAGCAATTTTGTGTTTATAAAATGGAGACTTCAGTTAAAACCGTCTGCCCCAAGAACCTGCGAACTGACATGGAGCAACTTTAGGAAGTGCCTAGAAGAGATTTATTATTATGGCCATACTCTCAGAAAAAAACAAGAAATCACATTTGTGACTTCCTCCAACGTGCAGTGCCAGTGACGTTATTGTAGCTTGTCTTTGTTTTAGCTAACCCAGGCTCTCGTAGGACACCTCCTCCCTGATGGCACCTCACAGCATTGTCAAGCTTGTGGAGCTATACACCAGACCTACAATGCCAACTGCCTTCCTCCTCTCCAACACAAATCCAGCCCAGTATTCAAGGCTCATTCCAGGCCCTCTCGACTGAGAGTACTCCCTGTCTACCATGTCCATGGTGATTTCTCTCTTCTCTTTTAAGACCACTGGCCTTATTGCTTACTTACTTTAATATAAACTATTTAAAGTGTTTGTTCTCACTCCCCAATTGACGTACAAGCAAAGCGATATGGGGGCAGAATCCATATCTTCTCACTCTGTATTTTCCCAGTAATGCTTTGCACACAAACCCTGGGACTAGTTTACTGCAGGCATGTGGTGGTCAGGCTAAGGGCAGAGGCAATGGGAAAGGAGAGGACTCACTCTTTGGGTGGTTGTGTAGAGGCAATAAAAGAAAGGCAACATGTGGGAACCTGGTTGGGGCTCCATACCTCTTCGGTCCCGGTGCTATATCAATAATTAACAAATAAGTAACAATGGACAGAGCAACTGAAATGTTATTTTGAATTGGCTAGAGGTGGAAAGACAGAGCTATATCTGTAAAAATGGAAGGGTTGGGAGGAGGAGAGGAAGGAAAACACTGCTGAGCACAGGTGTCTGGGTTTTCTGTCCTTCTTTATTCTAAAAAGCTCCCTCAGTGTTTGAATTAATAGAGAAGTGAAATCCTCTCCTACCATTTCCTGTTGTGGCCTCACAGAAGGTTTCACATCTCCTTTGACTGCCGGAGCAGAGATCTAGACATAAGAGGGAACTACATTCAGCCCCACTGTTACTGGCTAGGGCCATGTTCAGTGCTGGCACAGGACCACACAGCCAGTGCTCCCTTGCCAGGGCTAGGCTTTGTAGACATTGAAAAGGATCCCAGGACTTGGTTCCTATAAGGTTAGGCTAACAGCTTACCTGGGCAGGATGGGGAGGAATGTGAGGGGGAAATGTATTGGGGGGGTGTGGGGGAAAATTCAGTTTTGAAACTTGTCAAAAGAGAAAGTGGAAGGGACGGTGGTTCTCAGAGCAGAAGGAACTCTGAGGACAGGAAAGATAAGACTTGGGTGAATTGGGTTATGGATTGTGACTCTTCTCTTTCTCTCTTTCTCAGCGGAGGCCTCACTAACTCCCTTTATTTGAGCCATCCCAGTTCCAAGATGTAGTGAGTGTGTGGGCATGCTCAAGAGAGTGTGTATGTGTGTGTGTGTGTACACATGTGCATGTGTAACAGCTGTATAAGAAGAGGAGTTACAGCCTTTAGACCTTGGGTGTGAATCTTTGGACCTGTTTTCCAACCTGGGAAATGAGGACAATTAACAAGTTTTTTTTTTTTTTTTTTTTTTTTTTGAGACAGTCTCATTCTGTCACCCAGGCTGGAGTGCAGTGGCACGATCTCGGCTCACTGCAACCTCCACCTCCCAGGTTCAATCGATTCTCCTGCCTCAGCCTCCAGAGTAGCTGGGATTACAGGCACGCGCCACCACACCCAGCTAATTTTTGTATTTTTTGTAGAGACGGGGTTTCACCATGTTTGCCAGGCTGGTCTCAAACTCCTGACCTCAGGTGATATGCCTTCCTCAGCCTCCCAAAGTGCTGGGATTACAAGCGTGAGCCACCATGCCCGGCCAACAAGTCTTTTAAGATGAGATGAGATATTATAGAAAGGACCTACCTAGCACTGTATCTGTAGAAGCTCTACAGATTATGCACTCCCCACCCCATATTCTGCCCATTCCAACACACTTGACAGTTCGTTAGCAGAGTTAGAGTATATAAGCAAGGTGAGTGGGGGCAGTGGCTGGGAGCTATGGCAGAGCTTCAGTTAATCTCAATTAGTTACACAACGAATCTTTCGTTTTTGGTAATAATCTTTGTATGCATTTTTTATCCCCATTTTCTTCATAAGTGTTAGATTTTCCTGAGATCAGGGACTTTGAGGGAGGGCAGGTAAGTGTGGTGTCAAGGGGCCCCTTCCACAATCCTCTTTTGTTTAGCTCACTATTTAATAAAATCCAAGAGTTCTCAGAAACTAAGATGTGAAGAGGCAGCCCTGAAACCTACTGGGGAGCAGAAGGAAGCCAATTTAGAGTTTCAAGTTAGTGATGGAAAATCCATCAACTGTATAGTTCACAATGGGATAGAAGAATGAATTGCCGTTTAAAATCTGCTTTTTCAGGCCAGGCACGATGGCTCATGCCTGTAATCCTAGCACTTTAGGAGGCTGAGGTGGGTGGATCACTTGAGGTCAGGAGTTCAAGAACAGCCTGGCCAACATGATGAAACCCTGTCTCTACCAAAAAAAAAAAAAAGACAAAAACTAACCAGGAGTGGTGGCACATGACTGTAACCCCAGCTACTCAAGTGGCTGAGGCATGAGAGTCATTTGAACCCAGGAGGCGAAGATTGCAGTGAGCCGAGATTATCCCACTGTACTCCAGCCTAGGCGACAGAGTGAGACTTTCAAAAAAAAAACCTGTGAAAAAAATAAATACGCAAATACATAAAATCTGCCTTTTCAAGACACACACGTGACCAAGAAGCATATGAAAAAATGTTCAACATTACTAATGATTAGAAAAATGCAAATCAAAATCATAATGAGATACCGTCTCACACCAGTCAGAATGGCTATTATTAAAAAGTCAAAAAATAACAAATGTTGGAGAGGTTGCAGAGAAAACGGAAGGCTTATACACTGCTGGTGGGAACATAAATTAGTTCAGCCATTGAGGAAAGCAGTTTGGCAATTTCTCAAGAACCTTAAAACAGAGCTACCATTCGTCCCAGGAATCCCATTATTAGGCATATACCCAAAGGAGTATACATTGTTCTACCATAAGGACACATGCACATGAATGCTCACTGCAGCAGTATTCATAATAGCAAAGACATGGAATCAGCCTAAATGCCCACCAACAGTAGACTGTATAAAGAAAATGTGGTACATATACACCATGGAATACTCCACAGACAAAAAAGGACGAGATCACGTCTTTTGCAGCATCATGGATGGAGCTGGGGGCTGTTATCCTAGGCAAACTAACACAGGAGCAGAAAATGAAATACTGCATGTTCTCACTTTTATAAGTGGGAGCTAAACATTGAGTACACATGGACACAAAAAAGGGAATAATAGACACTGGGCCCTACTTGAGGGTGGAGGATGGGAGGAGGGAGAGGATCAAAACACTACCTATCAGATACTATACTTATTACCTGGGTGATGAAATAAATTTTTACGCCAAATCCCGATGACACACAATTTACCTATATAACAAACCTGCATGTGTACCCTTGAACCTAAAACAAAGGTTAAAATAATTTAAAATAAATAAAAAATAAAATCTTACTTGGTATTCTCAAAAAATAAAAAACAAAATCTGTCTTTTCAGGGGAAGAAAAGTAGGAAAGCTTTATCTCATTTTCCTAGTGGCTTCATAATGCAGGGACCTGCCCCCAGGGAACAGGGTATAGTAGGGGAAACACACAGGGGTGTTTAGAGTTTGGCGAAAGGCAGGTGAGCTCTGGGCACTGACCCGTCACCAGCTATTTTTCAAGGAGTCTGAGAGGTGTTAACCTGCGGTCTACCCCGTGAGATTGCTCAGAGTGTAGGAGGATATGGTTTACTAGCTCCGGAAAGCAGCTATTATAACTGAGGAGGAAATGAAGCTTGACTGGCTAGAACAGAAGCAACAATGGAGGCCCATGGAGGGATTTTCCAGGCCCCTATTCCTGATCTCCATGGTGGCGCTGCTTCCCTTATTCTGCAGTCTTGCTTTGAGACCAGACAATTCTGTACTCTGTCTGTGCCTTCTTCCTTCTCAGCAGCCCTGCCTCTGCCACCTGCCCCAGAAGGGCTCTGGGTCCTCTCATCTCAGGACAGACAAGGGTTTTTGTAATTATCTTCTTGGGTAACCTCCCTGTAAGGAATAGGAGAGGTTATCTGGTCCTGGTCTTTTGGGAGAGCATTGAGAAGAAAAAGTTAAACCAGTGGGCAGCCCAGGCTGCATACATCCTGGGAATATTGCGATTATTCTCTCCAGTAATCTACGGAAATCTACTGGTTGTTCTGCAGAAAAAGAATTAAGAGAGACAAGGAGACCTGTTGTCTAAGACTAAGGCAGGATGACGTTTACCTAGTAACTGATGATGCTAGGCTGAGGCACTCAGTGATTTGTCTCTACATTTGTCCCTGCCTACCTAGCCAATCTGTCCCTGTTTGGGACACTGGACTCCCGTGAGCTGGAAGGAACAGATTTAATATCTAGGGGCTGGGTATTCCCACATCACTCATTTGGGGGGTCAAGGGACCCGGGCAATATAGTATTCTGCTCAGTGTCTGGAGATCATCTACCCAGGCTGGGGCTTCTGGGACAGGCGAGGACCCACGGACCCTGGAAGAGCTGGTCCAGGGGACTGAACTCCCGGCATCTTTACAGAGCAGAGCATGATCACATTCCTGCCGCTGCTGCTGGGGCTCAGCCTGGGCTGCACAGGAGCAGGTAAGGACACTTCTTCTGGGGACTCTCCCTTCCCCTGCTCCTGTTTCAGGGTAAGGGTGTTCCGTTTTGTAATTGCATTTGACACCCCAGATAGTTTGTCTCCCTGGTATACATTCCTATAGCACTTTGTACTTTGTAGCAATTTTAATGTAATTAATCTGTATAATTATCTGTGCAGTGTATATTCCCTGCTGGAATATAGGCAAGGACAATGTTCATCTTATTTATTGCTGCCTCCTCAGCTCCTAGCACAGTGCCTTGCATGCAGCAAGTGCTTCATAAATATGTGCGAAGTGAATATTTAATATTTCCAGCACAATACAAGGCTGACTCTTTCTCTTGACCCTTTTTCTCTCTCAATAATTTGCCTTACTGAAGGTCTGTGTTCTGGGCAAATTGTCATGTTTAAACATGCAAATAATCTCGGGGGGCTACTCCTATCCCTGTGCTTAGTCTTGCATAAAGAGGAGACTGGATCTAAAAACTTATCTACTACTTCTACTGACTCCCTCAAATCAGACTTTCAGAAACTTCAGTGTATGAGCTTGGTCAGTAGATGTTCCCTGAGCAGGAAATCTGTGCCAGACTAGCTGGATGTCACCAAGGCTTAGGTTCTGAGCTGAATATAGGAAAAATCAACTTTTTTTCTTCTATATGCTCACACTCAACACTTCTTTGACCAACTGTGTGAGGTTTTTTTTTTTTTTTTACTCATACCAACCAATTCTCCTATATTAGCTGGATATCCTATAATTCAATTCCATTGTGACATTAACTAGAGTTAACATAGACACCAAAGGTTAAAGACTCAGTCCCATAAGACTGCCTCCATTTCAGACACCAATCACAAGTAGTAGGTTCCCAAATTACCCACATCTTCTGTCCAACTTGCCTACAAATCAGAGGTTCCCATGACCCCCTCCTTGGGGTTGGTAATTTGCTAAAGTGGCTTATGGAACTCAGGAAAAGTTTACTTATTATTGTAGATTTTTTACAAAGGATATTTTAATTGATAATAATAATTATAAATATTCATGGGGTGGATAATGATGTTTTAGTACATGTAATGTACAGTGATCAGATCAGATCATCATCTCATTTATCATTTCTTTGTGTTGGAAACATTCCATATCCTTCTTCTAGCGATTTGAAATGATATAAAGTATTATTGTTAATGACAGTCATCCCACAGTGGTATAGAACACTAGATCATAATTTTGCATCCTTTAACAAAGGATATTTTAAAGCATACAAAGGAACATCCAGATGAAGAGATACCAGATCTGGAAGGGTCCCAATCACAGGAGCTCTGTCCCCACAGAATTGGGGTACTTCACCTCCTGGCATGTGGATGTGTTTACCAACTGAGAAGTTCTCTGAACTCCATAGTTCCGGGATTTTTATGGAGGCTTCATCATGTAGGCATGACTGATTATTAACTCAATCTCCAGCCCCTTCCCCTTCAGGGAGTATGGGGGATGGGACTAAAAGTTCCAGACTTCTAATCATGACTTGGTCTTTCTGGTGACCAGCCCCTCCTGCAGGAGCCCACCAAGAGTACCTCATTAGAACAAAAGACACTCCTGTTATCTAGGAAATTCTAAGCGATTAGGCACTCTATGTCAGGAACCAGGGTCAAAGACAAAGCTCTGTGCAGAGCTCCTAAATATACGTCTGTATGTTTTATATATTTATTATTTGTGTATATTTATTATTTATATATTTATTTATTTATTGCCAGGCCAGTAGAAGACATTGACCTGTTCTCCCTTCCCTGGCTCCTCTAGGTGGCTTCGTGGCCCATGTGGAAAGCACCTGTCTGTTGGATGATGCTGGGACTCCAAAGGATTTCACATACTGCATCTCCTTCAACAAGGATCTGCTGACCTGCTGGGATCCAGAGGAGAATAAGATGGCCCCTTGCGAATTTGGGGTGCTGAATAGCTTGGCGAATGTCCTCTCACAGCACCTCAACCAAAAAGACACCCTGATGCAGCGCTTGCGCAATGGGCTTCAGAATTGTGCCACACACACCCAGCCCTTCTGGGGATCACTGACCAACAGGACACGTGAGGAGAGAGGGGTGCAGAGGGGCTACCAGGAAGTGCAGTTAGGAGGGCAGGCCAGGGAGGATCCCACAGTGGCCCAGGGGTTTGAGATTTGAGCAGCAAATAAGAGAAAATGTGTGGATCTGAAATGTAGAAAGACGGAGGATTGAACCTCAAGGGGAACAAGGTGGCTGACGTGAGTGGAACAGGAGTAAAGAAGGGGAGGTGAGGCTTGAACCGCGAGGTGCCATGTGGGGAGCTTATGCAGAGGCTGGGGCATCTCAGGATGCATACCCAAGATGTTCTTGCCTTGTTATCCCAGATTTTGATGTTCCAGATCTGATGTGGGCCCAGGCATGGGAATATTTGGAATCCCAGGGGATTCTGACACATGCTTTTTCTCACCCTTAAACTCTTGCATTGACAATGGCTTGAAGTTTGTGAAAGTAAACTTGAAGATCTCCACAGTACAGAACAGTGTGTCTCAAGGGTGGTTTCTGAACCACCTTTCTCAGAATTGCCTGGAGGAGGTGCTTGTTAAAGATGCAAGCCCCTTAGTACCACTCCAGATCTGTTGAAAGAAAGTATCTGGGGATACAGCCTAGGAAATCTGCATTTTAACATAATTCCTTGGATTTTTATTTAAGATTGTGTTTGAAAAATGTCAAGATAGAGGCAAGCAAGAGGATCACCTAGGAGAGTAAATTAGTAAAAGATGGCAGTATTAGCAATCTCATTAGTTTGACTACATTCATTCCAAATTTAAGAGTGAGTCCTAAGTTAGGCTTGTTTCCTTGAACTATGTGAGGAGAAAAAGCTTTAACTAGCAAAAGAACGTATTAAACAAGATTTGGAGAAAAATTCCTTTTCCACCTTAAAAAAACCCAATGTACAACTCTGGATTACTCTTAGCTTCCTTATTTCAAATACTTTCCAGTTTATGTACTTGAAATAAATACAACAACTTCTAGAACAGCTTGCAGTTCAGATCTGGCTTTTACTAATTGTAATCAAACATAATTCTGGAGGAGGAAAGAAAGAAAGGGGCAATGAAGGAATGGGAGAGAAGAAAGAGTAATGCAGGAATACATTCTAACGGTTCCCCTTCAAGGGGCAGCATGGCAGAGGGGGCTGGGGTGGAAAGTGGGTTGCAAAATCTACGAAGAGTTGCGATAGGGAAGAAACCAGGTTGAGGAAGCAGCCAGAATGTCACCCTCCTTCCTAAACATGTTTTTTTCTCCTATGCAGGGCCACCATCTGTGCAAGTAGCCAAAACCACTCCTTTTAACACGAGGGAGCCTGTGATGCTGGCCTGCTATGTGTGGGGCTTCTATCCAGCAGAAGTGACTATCACGTGGAGGAAGAACGGGAAGCTTGTCATGCCTCACAGCAGTGCGCACAAGACTGCCCAGCCCAATGGAGACTGGACATACCAGACCCTCTCCCATTTAGCCTTAACCCCCTCTTACGGGGACACTTACACCTGTGTGGTAGAGCACACTGGGGCTCCTGAGCCCATCCTTCGGGACTGGAGTAAGTGTATGGCAGATGGATGGAATTAGGGTCAAAGCAGAGAAAATGAGATGTGGATCGATACATGGTACATGGTAGACAGCGAAGTGCTGAAAATGGGGACTGAGTCTGGAGGAACTTACGGGGGGCTTAGGACCAGAATGGGGAAATGGGATAAAGAAATGGAAATATTTAGGTTGGTGCAAAAGTAATTGCAGTTTTTGCCATTACTTTCAGTGGCAAAAACCGCAATTACTTTTGCACCAGTTTAATATTTAGTCTGTGCTATTGCTGCTCTGGTGGTGTGGCTGATGTTGCTGCGTCTATGTTTGAGGGTGAGAGGGGAGCGTGCTTGCTTTGAAATGAGGCTGTAAATTTGGCAATCATATTTTCAGAACCCCAAATTGTAATACACTATTCTAGCCTCCTTAGATTTCAACTATTCTGGTGCCAGAAGCAGATGGGAGCTGAAGGAATGATGAAGGTTGAAGAAGGGGGGCTTTTCTTGGTGTGGGGCAGTACTGCATTTGGCCTGCTCTACCAAGCATACGGGAGTAGTAAAGCCACGGCTGGCAGACCATTTGGCATGCATGCTCAGGGGCCAGTGGATAAAGAATTACTTACAGTTCAAACACTGTTTGAACTCAGTGTCGGGAGTAGTTAAAGGTATCGTGAGAAGTTGCACACAGCTTTGGGGACTCTTGGAAAAGAAAGAGGAAGAAATGAGGAAGAGGAAGGGTGTCTACAAAGGGCCAGAGAACAGGATCTCAGATCAGCTGCTGTAACCAGGTTTCCCCTTGTGGGAAGTGTTGTTTCTTGCTGGGCAGTTGGGAAGGGAATGGAGAACAGAGAAGAGAGTGGAAATCACATGCTCACTTGAACTTTCCTGGGGAACGTCTCCTCACAGCGTGCACAAGAGCCTCCCTTTGGAAATGGAGTGTTCATTTTATCATGGGAAAAGAATCTGAGTGGGACATGATTCAGAACAGGACCGGCCCAAGGAAGTGCAGGGGCTGTGGAGTGGGATGGAGACAAGCTCTGAAAGGACACATGGGAGATCTAGATGTAGAAGGTACACAAGTAGTAGGATAACTCACAGGATGGATCCACTGGAGGTTAAGACATGTGGTAAGACAGTGTAATAGGAAGCTGCTCAGTTGGAGAAAGTAAGGAAGCAAACATTGTTACCGTGGGGGCAATGGAGAGGACAGTGAGGAGCCCTTTATCCTGATAAGGGTGGCTTTGGGGTAAAGGAAGGAAAGAGGATGCCTTGAGAGGCCCCACTGTATTAGAGAGGACCTGGAAGCCAGGATGCTAATTCTGGGGAGATGGGTTCCCCAGGCTTACTCTAGGAGTAGAGGTCCATGGGACGAGGGTTTGATTTGAGAAAGATCATTTTCTTGGGAGTGGGTGGTGTGAGCTAGACCCTTGGAGCTGGGATAAAGGACCTTTTAACCCACTGAGAGGTGGCTGCAATAAATGGAATTGCCCTGGGGGTGAGCAACAGAAACTGGGTCAAGTAAGTTTCTATTTTTTGCAGCACCTGGGCTGTCCCCCATGCAGACCCTGAAGGTTTCTGTGTCTGCAGTGACTCTGGGCCTGGGCCTCATCATCTTCTCTCTTGGTGTGATCAGCTGGCGGAGAGCTGGCCACTCTAGTGAGTGACTCGCTGAACTCCCATCCCCACTCTTGGTCCCACTCTCTGCTTACTTTCTGTTTGTGATTAACTCTCTCCTTCCTACTGCATTTGCTATGAATACTGCTAGATATTTTCATCCACAAAGACTGGTATAATCAAGTATCTTCCTCTCTTAGGTTACACTCCTCTTCCTGGGTCCAATTATTCAGAAGGTAACATCTCTGTTGGTCTGTTTCCCTACTTGCCCTTTGGTAGGGGTGCGGGTTAGAGGGGTCAGTGTTGGGTTCAACTAATCTTGATTATTATATGGGTGAGCTTCCATGAGGATCTAGGCAAGGGCATGATTTAAGCTGCCATTGCTAGGATTAAGAGCAGGAAGGAGCATCCTCCTCTTCTACCAAGTGGGATGTCTGTGGAGAGGAGGCTGAAGGTGCTTCCTTTGTATTAGTTGTTGGTGCCCTGGAGTTTTCAGTATCACTGTATTAAGGCATGGGATGGTTACAGTGACAAACGATGGGGGCAAGTTGGGTTGAAGCCTCATTATCTCCCTTTTATTTATTCTGTAGGATGGCACATTTCCTAGAGGCAGAATCCTACAACTTCCACTCCAAGTGAGAAGGAGATTCAAACTCAATGATGCTACCATGCCTCTCCAATATCTTCAACCCCCTGACATTATCTTGGATCCTATGGTTTCTCCATCCAATTCTTTGAATTTCCCAGTCTCCCCTATGTAAAACTTAGCAATTTGGGGGACCTCATTCCTGGGACTATGCTGTAACCAAATTATTGTCCAAGGCTATATTTCTGGGATGAATATAATCTGAGGAAGGGAGTTAAAGACCCTCCTGGGGCTCTCAGTGTGCCATAGAGGACAGCAACTGGTGATTGTTTCAGAGAAATAAACTTTGGTGGAAATATTGTTTTTCCATGTCTTCTTCCTGGGGCCCTGGGGAAGGAATATGGGCAAAGCAGGGACTGAGGTTAATTCTCTTCTGCTTGAGTAGGGGAGAAATCAATGCCTTCTTCCATTTTCCCACTTAGACATGACAGAATTTGGGGCCGTTTTCTGATTTATAATTCATAAGGAGAAATTCAACTGTGGTGGGTTGGAGTCACAGAGTATGGGCAAGGAAGGGAATTAACAGCTTACTCACCTCATACAGGATCTTATGAGGATTAAATGAGTTCATACTTGTAAATGGCTAAGAACACCGCCAGGCACATAGCCAGCCTGCAATAGTGACGTTAGCTATATTCGATTATTCAACTTTCTGGCCAGGCATTGTACCAGGTGCTTTGATCCTCATCACAACCGTAAGGCAGACCCCTCATACCCCTCAGGATTCAGGGGACAGAGCTTAACTCCAGATTGAGTTCTAGACAGTTATTTCTTTCATACCCTGAATGCAGAAGGGAACATAGCTTGAGTGATTATTATGTCTTAGGCACTGGTCTCAGACCTTTATATTTGTAGCTCATTCTCTTCTCACAATAACCACACAAGGGACAGATTGTTTCCCTCTATGTTACAGACAAAAGATGTGAGGCTCAGAGACATTTAAGTGACTTGTCCAAGGTCAAAGAACAGATTTCTGTAGGATGTTTGTCTACCTGAGCTGGAAGTAGCAGATTACTTTATTCTGAAGACCCTCATGCTGGTGAGCACACATCTCTTCAGAGCCACCGTTCCATTCCCTTCTACCCCAAGACCAAGGAGAGCCCTTTGGGGGAATGGACTCCACCCTAAGGAAGAGAGGATGCTGGCTGGTGGTTTGTTGTCCCACGAAGGGCGACACCTGCTGGACACAGAAACCTAGGGTGTGGAATTGTTTTTGGAATTAGAGCTAGATACTAGAATATGGGTAAGAAAAAGAAACCAAGAAATGAGTTGATTTGGAACACCTCCATAATTTCTTCAGAAGCATCCTTGGAATTAGAGCATCTCTTCTGGAAGGGGTTAACAGAAGAAGTCAGTGAAAGGAACTTAATCTCTACATTTTACCATTTTTATGTTTCATTTTCATTTTTTTCTATTCACTGTTTTTGTTTTTATTTTTGTTTGTTTGACAAAGCAAATTCCTTTTGAAATTCTAGTTTAGTCTAGGAATGGGGGGCTTTGGGCCTTGTCTATATCTGGGCAGTTTTATTTATTATTTTTATTTTATTTATTTATTTTTTTTCGAGACAGAGTTTTGCTCTTGTTGCCCAGGCTGGAGTGCAATGGCGTGATCTCGGCTTATTGCAACTTCTGCCTCCCATGTTCAAGCGATTCTCCTGCCTCAGCCTCCCAAGTAGCTGAGATTACAGGCGTGCACCACCACGCCTGGCTAATTTTGTATTTTCTTAGTAGGGATGCGGTTTCACCATGTTGGTCAGGCTGGTCTCGATCTCCTGACCTCAAGTGATCCACCTGCTCAGCCTCCCAAAGTGCTGGGATTACAGGCGTGAGCCACCGCACTAGGCCTATCTGGACAGTTTTAAAGGAGAAGCTGCAGATCTGAAGGGTCTAGTTCTAGTCACAGCAGTGGGAATCAAAGTGACAGGATCCCAGAGAAAGGAAGTAGAGAGTTAGCTAATGGGACGGCTTCCAGTTCCTTTTCTAGAGATTTCCAGTGCAGGCTTTTCTCTGCCCTAACTTTGTAGGTTTTTTGTTTTATAGGAAAGGCTGTCCCCTTCCAGGTAAGGAATAGGGAAAAGTATATGTAGGTCTGCTAGGATCCAGAAAGTCAGAATACTATAGGTAGAAAGGGGAGTTCTTACACAGGGGAATGAGTGGTACTTGAAAGGAAGGTGGAAGAAGGGTGATGGTGCACCAATTGTAGGAGGATGAGGAGAAGAGAATGGATGCTGCATGAGGAGAATGGAATGTAAACATAATGGATTGCCAAAAAAGGAGTGCGTGTGTGTGTGTGTGTGTGTGTGCACTTGAGCACATGTGAGAGAAAGAGAGGAAAAAAAGAGAAGGAGTGGAAGAGAGTAAGAGAGAGGGAGCAAAAGGGTGAGAGGAGAGAAGTGGAGTGGGAGAAAGAAGGAGAGGGACATAGAGAGAGGGAGGGAGGGGAGCGGGGGAAGAGAGAGAGAGCTGGACTTTCGGGTTATACATAATCCAAGCTGCACAAAGAATTGTTTTCGCCCTTCAATGTCTTGTTGTTTTAAAAGCTGAACTTGGAGCTAGAATTGGTTTTAAAGGTCATCTAGTCCACCTCCCCTCCCATGAAAGAACTGGGCCTGTGTTAACAAGGGCACACACAGTGCAGGGAGTTCCTTCAACACTTGGGGCAGATAACAATATTTTAGAGAAACGCGTTGACCCCACATTTGAGCTTCTTCTTTTGACCATTAAAGACAATGAGAATAAATCTCAAATACACCACGGGAGGTGGTATCCTTGGCATTTTTTTTTTCCCTGAGGGAGAGCATGTTCCTAGGTTCCAGGTTCTCTTTGCCTCCCTACCCACGAACACATGCATGTGAAAGAAACAGACAAGATTGACATTTAATCCCAATGTCTATTTATGAAAATTATCTTTAGGCCATTTTCTCAAGTTTTTCTCTTTCCAAAGTAAAATTGGGCAAATCAGATGAAAAACGAGGGTGGAGTTCAACCCCATCCTCAAATCCTTTTTTTTTTTGGCTTGAGTGTCTGTCATTCCCAAGAGCCCTCCAACTGCCTTGAAGCAAGGCATGGGGGATTTCTCCGTGGTGCTTCCTGCCACTACTTGGCCAGACCAGTCTCCAGGGGTTTCAGAGAGTGGAGAGGCCCCAAACCTATAGAGACTACTCCCAGATGGGGGGCTCCTTGTTTCTCCAGACCCTTCCTCTTCCATTTCATATGAGGCTTCTAAGAGGCCCCTGGCCGTGCTGGTCTGGGGCAGGGAATAAAGAAATGGCTTTTATTGTATCAGAGTCTCAACAGAAAACAGATGGCATACTCGAAATAGGACATTTCAAGGAAAGTTTATTTATTAGCAAAGTATTTACAAAGAACTGGGTGGAGGATAGCTGTTACTACCCCAAGGTCCAAAGAGGCCGGGGACAGAAGGGGTTATCAGGACTCAGAAGGACAGCAAGCCCTGTACAGTCACCACCTTGCCAAGGGCAGTGCCCTTCAGTCAAGGGACACAACAGCTTAAGGTGACCTTGTAGGGAGGAAGCCAAGGGATTAGAAACACTGACCTCACTCCCCTCTTCCCTCTGCTCTTAGGCTGATGCTGGAAGCAAGAAGAAGCCAGGGAGCATGGGAGCCATTCAATGTCATGCAGGTCAGCACCTGAGGCAGACCCCAGGTGCAGAAGTATTGAGAGTGGGTCCAGAAGGACAGATGGAGGACAGGAAGTACATTCACAACAAGAAGGAAAAACGTCAATGTTGTGGGGTGGAGAGAGAGGTGCAAAATCTGGGCTTCTTTTGGCCTTGGACAATGACAAGCGCATAGTAGCAACAGAAACTAAGTTTGTAGTTTCCTACTGGGGAGTTTGGGAGGACACTCACTTCTAGTTCTGTCTTCCCCACTTGAATTTTGATTGTGGTTATACTGAATTTATAGAAATTTGGGGTTAACTGACTTGTTTTTATTACTAAATCATACCATGCAAAAACAGGATGTTTTCTCATTTATTGAAATCATTTTGTTTGCTCTTTATTATGGTTTTTAAACTTTACTTTTTCATAGTAGTCCTGAGTATGCTCAGTTAATTCTTAGGCATGTTGTAGCTTTTGCTGCTATTGTGATTGGTATCTTATTGCAATTCTACTTTTGAATCAGTAATTTCTGATGTAGAAGAATGTATCTAATTTAAAAAATTGTGGTTAAAAAAATAACATTTACCGTCTTAACCACTTTGAAGTGTACAGCTCAGCAGTGTTAAGTATATTCACATTTTTGTGCAACCAATCTCCAGAACTCCTTTTCACCTTGCAAAACCAGAACTCTACACCCATTAAACAACAACTCCTCATTTCTCTCTTCCTCTAGCCCCTGGCTACTATCACTCTACATTCTGTTTCTATGAATCTGACTACTTCAGATACCCTGTACAAGTGCAATCATGGAGTTTTTGTCTTTTGGCGATTGGCTTATTTCACTTAGCTTAATGTCCTTAAAATTCATACTTGTTGCAGCATGTAAGAGTGCTTTCTTCCTTTTTAGGCTGAATAATAAGCTACTGTATGTATATGCCATATTTTGTTTGCCCATTCATCTGTCTATGGACATCTTTGTTGCTTCCACCTCTTGGCTATCGAGAATAGTGCTGCTATGAATATGGGGGAAAATATCTGCTTAAGTCCCTGCTTTCAATTCTTTTGCATTTATACCCAGAAGTGGACTCTTGGGTCATATAGTAGTTTTACTACTGATTTTTTGAGGAACTGCCGTACTGTTTCCCATAGCAGTTACACATTTTACAATCCCACGAACATTGCATATAAAGGTTCTAATGTCTCTACATCCTCACCAACACTTATTTCTTCCCTCCCTCTCTCCCTTCCTTCCTTCCTTCCTTCTTTCCTTTCCTCCTTCATTTGCTCCCTCCTTCATTCCCTCCCTTCTTTCCTTTTTCCTTTCATTTTTATAGTAGCCATGCTAATGAGAATTAGATGATGTTATGGTTTTAATTTGCACTTCTCTAATAATAAGTAATGCTGAGCATCTTTTCATATGTGTGTTTGCCACTTGTATATCATCTTTGGAAAAATGTCTGTTGAAGTTTGTTGCCCCCTTTTTAACTGTTTGTATAAACAATTATTGTTGGGTTTTATGAGTTCTTTACATATTCTGAATATTAACCCTTTATTGGATATATGATATTCAAATACTGATATATGATTTTCAAATATTAGAAATTAATAATTTTTGTAAGTTGATCTTATATGGGACAACCTTGCTCGATCCTCTTATTGGTTTTAGTGGGGTTTTTGTTGTTGTTGTTGTCATTGTTGTTATTGATATTCTCTCTGTCTCTCTCTTTTTCCAGGTAGATAATAGTATCATCTGCGAGCATTGTTTTGTGTTTTCCCTCTTAATCCTTAGTGTTTTATTTTTCATGTTGTTGACTAGGATCTTCAATGCTGTGTCAAACAGTAGGGTGATAATGAGCATTACTCTTAAAGGAAATAAACCTAAATATTCTCCATTAAGTATAAATTTTGCTGTATATTGTAGATTCACATGCAGTGGTAAGAAATAATAAAAACAATCCTGTGTATCCTTTACCCAGTTTCCCTTGATGGTAACATTTTGCAAAACTATGGTACAATATCACAATTAGGATACATGGATACAGCCACAATACAGAACACTTCTATGATCACAAGGATTCTTCACCTTGCCCTTTTCTAGACACACCCACTTCCCTACCATCCCATACCCTCCTTAATGTCTAGCAATCACTAATCTCTTATCCATTTCTATGACTTTGTCACTTCAAGACAAATTTTTTTTTGTCATTTTAAAACAAATGATTAATAAATGGAAACATATAGTATATACACTTTTGGGATTGACTTTTTTTTCTCTCAATGTATTTCTCTGGAGATCATACAAGGTTGTTGCATATATCAATAATTTATTATTGCCTAGTTGTATTATATGGTATGGGTATAGCACAGTTAGTTTAGCCATCTGTCCATCACATCTGGGTTGTTTCCAGATTTGGCTGATATGAATATAAGTTTTTGTGTGGACATAAGTCTTAATGTCTCTGGAGCAAATGCCCAGGAGTGTACCTGCTGAATTGTATGGTGGTTGCATTTTTAGTTTTTTAAATAAACTGTCAAAGTGTTTTCCAGAGTGGTTGCACCAGCAATGTGCGAGTGATTGTTTTACTGCATCCTCACAGGCATTTGGTATTGTCACTATTTTTTTTATTTTTTTTGAGATGGAGTCTTGCACTGTTGCCCAGGCTGGAGTGCAGTGGTGCGATCTTGGCTCACTGCAAGCTCCACCTCCCGGGTTCGCGCCATTCTCCTGCCTCAGCCTCCCAAGTAGCTGGGACTATAGGCGCCCGCCACCACGCCCGGCTAATTTTTTGTATTTTTAGTAGAGATGGGGTTTCACCATGTTAGCCAGGATGGTCTCAATCTCCTGTCCTCATGATCCGCCTGCCTCAGCCTCCCAAAGTTCTGGGATTACAGGCATGAGCCACTGCGCCTGGCTTATTGTCACTATTTTTTATTTCAGCCATTCTAATATGTGTGTAGTGAGATCTTATTGTGGTTTTAATTTGCGTTTCCTTAATGGCTAATGATATCGAACATCTTTTCATGTGCTTATTTGCCATCTGTATATCCTTTTAATGAAATGTCTCTTCATGAATTTTTCCCATTTTCTAATTAATTTTTTTCAAACTGTTGATTTTTTTTCTTTTTTTTTCTGAGATGGAGTCTTACTCTGTCACTCAGGCTAGAGTGCAGTGGCATGACCTCGGCTCACCCCAACCTCTACCTCCTGGGATTACAGGCGTGTGCCACAACGCCCAGCTAATTTTTAGTATTTTTAGTAGAGACAGAGTTTCACCATGTTGGCTAGGCTGGTCTCAAACTCCTGACCTCAAGTCATCCACTCGCCTCAGCCTCCCAAAGTGCTGGGATTACAGGCATGAGCCAGGGGGCCTGGCCTGAGTTTTGATAAGTTGTTATATATTCTAGATACTAGTCCTTTGTTGGATACATGATTTGCAAATATTTTCTTCCATTATGTAGCTTGCCTTTTCATTCCTTTACAAGTCTTTCACAGAGCAACAGTTTTTAGTTTTAATCAGGTCTAATATATCCATTTTTTCATTTTACAGATCATGTTTTTGGTGTCAAATCTAAGAACTTGTTGCCCAGATCTAGATTCAGAAGATTTTCCCCTATCTTATTCTAAAAGTTTTATAGTTTTACATTTTGCATAGAAGTTTGTAATCCATATTGAGTCAATTTTTGCAGAAGGTATGAGTCTTAGATTAAACTGCTGCTCCTCCTTCTTTTCCTCCTTGTTGTCTTTCTCTCCTCCTATGGCCCTTGAATGTTCAATTGTTCCAGCACCATTTATGTTTTTCCGATGTCTGCAGGGTGTGTAGGGATATTCCCTGTGGACATTTCTATATTCTTTCTTTCTTCTTTGTCAGTGTAGTCTGCTAGAGGTTCATCAGTTGACTGATCTTTTCAAAGAAGCAACTTTTTGTGTCTCACTCTGTGGCCCAGGCTGGAGTGCAGTGGTGCAATCTCACCTCACTACAACCTCCGCCTCCTGGGCTCAAGTGATTCTCCTGCCTCAACCTTCCAGGTAGCTGGGACTACAAGCGCCTGCCACCACATTTGGCTAATTTTTTGTAATTTTAGTAGAAGCAGAGATTCACCATGTTGGGCAGGCTGGTCTCTAACTCCTGAGCTCAAGTGATCCACCTGCCTTGGCCTCCCAAACTATTGGGATTACAGGCGTGAGCCACAGTGCTCGGCCTTCCTTTCTTCTTTGGATGTATTTTGATCTTCTTTTTCTGGGCTCTTGAGATGAGAGTTTGAATTATTAATTTGTGTACTTTTTTTTTTTTTTAAAGAGACAAGGTCTCCTTATGTTGCCCAGGCTGGCCTCGAACTACTGGGCTCAAGTGATCCTTTCCTGCCTCAGCCTCCCAAGTAGCACCCAGTTTTTCTTCTTTTTAATGTATGCATTTAATGCTATAAATTTCCCTTTCAGCACTGGTTTAGCTGTGTCCTATAATTTTTTTTATTATTTTGAAAATATTTCGTGGGTTCATGGTAGGTGTATATGTTTATGGGGTACATGAGATGTTTTGATACACGCCTGGAATGTGAAATAACCAAATCATGGAGAATGGGGTAGCCATTCCCTCAAGCATTTATCCTTTGAGTTACAAACAATTCAATTACATTCTTTAAGTAACTTAAAAATATACAATTAAGTTATTTTTGACTATAGTCACTCTATTGTGCTATCAAATAGTAGGTCATATTCATTCTTTCTACTTTTTTTGTACCCATTAACCATCCCCACCTCCCCGCTCAGCTATCCACTACTTTTCTCAGGCTCTGGTAACCATCCTTCTACTCACTATGTCCATTAGTTCAATTGTTTTGATTTTTAGATCCCACAAATAAATGAGAACATGTCATGTTTGTCTTTCTGTACCTGGCTTATTTCACTTAACATAATGATCTCCAGTTCCATCTATGTTGTTGCAAATAACTGGATATCATTCTTTTTTCTAGCTAAATAGTACTCCATTGTATGTATGTACCACATTTTCTTTATCCATTCATCTGTCGATAGACACTTAGGTTGCTCCGAAGTCTTAGCTATTGTAAACAATGCTGCAATTAACATAGGAGTGCAGATATCTCTTTGAAATACTAATTTTCTTTCTTTCGGGTATATTCCCAGCAGTGGGATTGCTGGATCATATGGTAGCTCAATTTTAATTTTTTTGGAGGAACTTCCAAGCTGTTCTCCATGGTGGTTGTACTAATTTATATTCCTGCCAACAGTGTACAAAGCCTTCTCCACATACTCACCAGTACTTGTTATTGCCTGTCTTTTGGATACAAGCCATTTTTTTTTGAGATGGAGTCTTACTCAGTTGCCCAGGCTGGAGTGCAGTGGCCCAATCTCTGCTCACTGCAACCTCCATCTCCCAGGTTCAAGCGATTCTTCTGCCTCAGCCTCCCAAGTAGTTGGGACTACAGGCATGGCCCACCATGCCCAGCTAATTTTTGTATTTTTAGTAGAGACAGGGTTTCACCATATTGGCCAGGCTGGTCTTGAACTCCTGACCTCAGGTGATCTGCCCGCCTCGGCCTCCCTCAGTGCTGGGATTACAGGTGTGAGCCACCGTGTCCAGCCTGCATACAAGCTATTTTAACTGAAGTGAGATAATATCTCATTGAACTTCTGATTTGCATTTCTCTGATGATTCATAATGTTGAGCACCTTTCATAAGCCTGATTGCCATTTGTATGTCTTCTTTTGAGAAATGTCTATTCAGATCAGCTCATTTTTTGTTTGGACTATTGAACTCTTTTTTCCTATAGAGTTGTCTGAACTCCTTATATATTCTAGTTATTAATCCTTTGTTAGAGGGGTAGTTTGCAAATATCTTCTCTCATTCTGTGGGTTGTCTCTCCTAGAAATTTTTGATATGTTGTATTCTTATTTTCTTTCAATTCAGTGTATTTTTAAATTTCCTTTGAGATTTATTTTTTGACTCGTAGAGTATTTAAAAGTTTTCGCTTAGTTTCTTGACTTTCCTCTGTCATCTTTCTGTTATTTATTTCTAGTTTGATTCCAATGTAGTCAGAGAACACATTCTGTATAATTTATATTCTTTTAAATTTATCAATATTTGTTTTATGGCCCTGGATATAGTCCAACTTGGTATATGTTGCATGGACACTTCAAAAGAATGTATATTCTGTGCGGCCAACAAGCATGTGAAAAAAATGCTCAGTATAACTAATCATTAGGGAAATGCAAATCAAAACAATGATGAGACACCATCTCACCCCAGTCAGAATGGCTATTGTTAAAAAGTCAAAAACAACAGGTGCTAACAAGGTTGTGGAGAAAAAGGAACACTTGTACACTATTGGGGGTAATGTAAATTAGTTCAGGCACTGTGGAAAGCAGTCTGGAGATTTCTCAAAGAACTTAAAGCAAAATTCCCATACAACCCAGCAATTCCATTGTTGGGTATATACCTAAAAGAATATAAATTGTTCTGTCATAAAGACACATGCACATGCATGTTCATCACACTGCTATTCACGTTAGCAAAGACATGGAATGAACCTAGATTTCTTTATCCAGTGCTCATCAACAGTGCACTGGATAAAGAAGATGTGGTACATATACACCATGAAATACTACACAGCTATAAAAAATGGGATCATGGCCTTTGCAGCAACATAGATGGAACTGGAGGCCATAATCCTAAACAAATTACCGCAGGAGCAAAAAACCAGCTAATTGCATACACATGGACACAAAGATGGGAAAAATAGACACTGGGGCCTATTTGAGGGTGGAGGGTGGGAGGACAGTGATGATTGAAAAAGCACCTATCGGGTATTATGCTGATGATTTTTCCTCTGCTGTCTTTCCGTTATTGATTTCTAATTTGATTCCATTGTAGTCAGAGAAAAGTTTGTATAATTTAAATTCTTTTAAAATTATCTGTACACCAAACCCTTGTGACACGCAATTTACCCATGTAACAAACCTGCATATGTACCCCTTGCACCTAGTAAAACCGGAAAAGAAAAACAACAAAAAAGAGCCAATGTGTATTCTGCTATTGATGGGTGGAGTGTCCTGTAAATGTGGATTTGATCCTGTTGGTTGATGGTGTTATTGAGCTCTTCTACATCTTTGCTGATTTTCTTTCTAGTTTTTATTTTTTTATTTTTATTTTTTTTGAGACAGAGTCTTGCTCTGTCCCCCAGGCTGCTGGAGTGCAGTGGCAGGATCTCAGCTCACTGAAAGCTCCGTCCCCAGGTTCACGCCATTCTCCTGCCTCAGCCTCCCGAGTATCTGGGACTACAGGCGCCCGCCACCACGCCCAGCTAATTTTTTGTATTTTTAGTAGAGTCGGGGTTTCACCGTGTTAGCCAGGATGGTCTCGATCTCCTGACCTCGTGATCCACCCCCCTCGGCCTCCCAAAGTGCTGGGATTACAGGCCTGAGCCACCACTCCCTGCCTTCTTTCTAGTTTTATTAATAGTTGTGAGAGTTGTGTTGATGTCTCCAATTATAATTGTGGATTTTCTATTTTTTCTTTCAGTTCCGTCAGTTTTTGCTTCACATATTTTACAGCTCTGGTGTTTTGGGCATAAACATTTCTGACTGCAATGTCTTCTTGATAGACTGACCCTTCTATTATTATAAAACGTCCTTATCTTTCTCTGGTAATTTTTTTTGTTTTGGCTCTGAAGTTTACCTTATCTGAGAGTAGTACACTCACTCCTGTATTCCTCTAATTAAGGAAAACATGTTGTGTCTTTTTCCATCCTTTTACTTTTAACCTGCCTATGTTGTTATATTTGTGTGGTTTTATTGTTGTTTTTGTTTGTTTTGTGTTTTTTTTGAGACAAAGTCTCATCTTGTCACCTAGGCTGGAGTGCAGCGGCACAATCTCTGCTCACGGCAACCTCTGTCTTCCAGGGTCAAGCGATTCTCCTGCCTCAGCCTCCTGAGTAGCTGGGACCACAGGTGCACACCACCATGCCTGGCTAATTTTTGTATTTTAGTAGAGACGGGGTTTCACCATGTAGGCCAGGCTGGTCTCGAACTCCTGACCTACCTCAAATTATCCACCTGGCTTAGCCTCCCAAAGTGCTGAGAGCCACTGAGCCTGGCCTATATTGTTATATTTGAACTGGGTTTTTTTTTGTTTTTGTTTTTGTTTTTTGTTTGTTTGTTTTTTTTTGTAGAGTGCTGGGTTTACAGGTGTAAGCCACCATGCCTGGCCTGAACTGGGTTTCTTAATTGAGGTATTTAGATCATTTGCATTTAGTGTAATTTTTTTTCTTAATTTTTATGTTTAATTATTATGGGTACACAACCGTTGTATATATTAGTGAGGTACATGTGATGTTAGTTACAGGCATACAATGTGCAATGACCAAATCAGAGTAATTGGGGCATCTACCACCTCAAGAATTTATCATTTCTTTGTATTAGGAATAATGTAATTATTGATATATGTATTAGCTTGGGGTGCCATAACAAAATAAAACTAGGTGGCTTAAACAACAGAAATATATTCTCTCACAGTTCTGGAGGTTGGAAGTCTGAGATCAAGGCGCCAGCATGGTCAGCTTCTGGTAAGGGCTCTTCCTGGCTTATAGAGAGAGTTGCCATCTTCTGGGGGCAGAGTGAGAGAGAAAGAGAGAGGAAGGCTGGGAGGGAGAAAGAGCAAGAGAGCATACCCTGGTTTCTCTTCCTATTGAATTAATCCTATTGAATCATGGCCCTACCCTTATGAATTCATTTAACCTGAATTACTTCTGTAAAAGGCCCTATCTCCAAATATAGTCCCATTGGTGGTTAGGGCTTCAACATGGGATTCTGTGGGACACAATCCAACCTGTAGTAACATGAAGGGCTTAATTGTTTTTCATTTATTTTGTTTGTTCTCTCCAGTTTTCATCTCTGTTTACTCTTTTCTGACTTTCTGTGGCTTACTTGGGCATTTTTTAGAACGCCAGTTTTATTTATCTACAGTGTTTTTGAGTGTATTGATGCATAACTTTTAAGTGGTTGCTTTAAGTATTACATATACATGTAACTTGTCACAGTCTGCTGGAGTCATCATTTACCATTTTGAGTAAATAATAAAAATCTTACCTTCCTAATTTATGTCCCATCCCTTTATCCTCCTCACTGAAAATACGATTGTCTTAAATGTTTCCTCTACATACATTTAGAACCACATCAGTGTTATAATTTTGGCTTCAACCATCAAACATACTTTAGAAAACTTAAGAGGAGAAGAAAAATTTATTGTATTTACCCATCTATTTGCTTACCTTGTTCTATCTTCTTCCTTGATGTTCCAAGGTTCCTATTTTATCATTTCCATTCTGTTTAGATAACTTCTTTTAGCCATTTTCATTATTTCTGGGCAGGTGTTCTCCCCCCGCCCCCATCTCCATTGACATCTTAGAGAGGGGGCCCCATTACTGGCTTGCAGAAATGAAATTCTTAGCTTCCTAATTGGTCTTCTTGGATACCACTGCAGAGTGATGTTGGAGCACCTTGTTACAGCTTCAAGAGGGTGAAAGTTTAGGTCTCCCACTTGGTCTTTCTGGTGTGAATGGCAGTAGAGTCACAGTTATTGCTATGGTATTTGCCTAGAACTGAACAGTTACTTTCTAAGGCTTGACAGGCTTGCCTGCCTCTGTCTTGGTCTTTTGGCTAGTGATATCAGGGCTTTTGTTGTAAGTGTTGTTGGGGCTTTTTCTGTTTGTTTGTTTGTTTGTGCCAGTTGGTCTTTCCAAATTGTCACTTTCTTCAGCTCCAAGCCCAGCATATATGTGGCAAAAAGAAAGCCCAGGGAACTCACTAGTATGTCATTCCTCAGATCCTGAGATTCTAGCTGTTCTGCCTTCTCATTTCCACCTTTTAGAGTCTTCTTATGTTTGTTTTATATATATATAATGTCCAGAGTTTTTAGTTGTACTTAGTGAGATGAATAGGAAAAAGTATGTCTACTCAATTTTTCCAGAAGTCTTTGCTGTCAACCTTTACTAAATTAGTAGGTTTCCTTTTATTCCTGGTTTTCTAAAAGTTTATTTTTTAAACATAAATGGTTTTTTACATTTAAAAAATAGTTTATCAGAATTGACTCATTTCATTGTATTTTCCTTCTTAATCTCCTAATATAGTGAATTATATTGAGAGATTTTTAAAATGTGAAACATCTTTGCATTCCTGGGATAAACCCTATTTGTTCATCCTATAGTTACACATTTACTGTTGGTGTTATTTAGTTAATATTTTACTTGGGTTGTTGTATTTACTTTTATAAAGCATGGACGTAAAACTTGCCTTTCTTGTATTTCCTTGTTTGTTTTTGTAATAAAAATTTCTCTAAACAATAACCTAGGCAGATTTTGTTCTTCATTCTGTTTCCTGGAATAATAAATAGAAATGTCTTTTCAAAGGGCAGCTTTTGTTTTTGTTCATCTATTTTATTGTTTTTAGTTCTCTATTTCATTTATGACTATCTTTACTATTTCCTTCCTCCTTTGGGTGTATTCTCTTCCTCTTTACCTAGCGTTTGAGTTGAACACTCAGCTTATTGATTTTGGTCTTTTTTTGTGTTTCCTAGTAAGTGTATTTAAAGGTAAAAAATTTCCTTCTAAGTTCTGCTTTAATCATATCTAACACATTTTGATATGCAGTGTTTTAATTTTTATTTAATTCTACATATTCTTTATATTTTTCTTTTAACTCACAGGTTACTTGTGACATTTAAAAACTTTTTATTTTGAAGTAATTTTAGAAGAGTAGTACAAAGAATTCTTACGTACACTTGTCCAAATTCAATGATTTGCAACATTTTGTCATATTTGCTTTCTTTTTCTCTCTGTCTCTGCTTCCCTCTCTGTTTTTTTCCTAAAAAACATTAATATTCCTAAGTCCATTTTAGGGACTTACTCTAAAATGGTTATGAAAAAACATTAGAGAGAAAAAATGGTTTACTCTAAAATGGTTAGGAAGTCTGGAGTTACATACACACATGCCCCTTTCCTGCTAAATATTTCAATGTATTTCCTAAGAACAAGGCTGTTCTCTTACATAAACACAGAAAAACAGTCATATTAAGAAAATTTAACTTGGATATAATATTAGCTAATCCACAGTACATATTCAAATTTTACCAGTTTTCCCAATAAAGAACCTTATAACTCCAGCCACTCCCAGTCTCTTGTCCTGCAATCCAGAATCAAGCATTTCAGTAAGTTTTCATGTCTCTTTGGTCATTTTTAATGTGAGAGAGTCTATCAGTTTCTTATTTATTCAGGTTTTATTAATTAGCTTGAACTTATATAATTTTATTATTTTGCCCTTCAAGAACTCTGCTTTTTTTTTTTTTTTCTTTTTGGTCTAGTTTATCTACCAGTTTTTGAGAGAGGGTTTGTAAAAATCATCAAATGTATTTTTAAAAAACTCAACTTCTAACTGTAGTTCTTTCACTTGTTGCTTTATAAATTGTGAGGCTGTATTGTTGAGTTTATATATATTTATGATTACTATATCTTCTTGTTTCTTTAAAAGTTATATGAACATCTTTTCTTTTGTCCTTTATGCACTTTATTTTTTTTATTTTTATTTTTTTTTGAGATGGAGTTTCGTTCTTATTGCCCAGGCTGGAGTGCAGTGGCACAGTCTTGGCTCACTGCAACCTCCATCTCCCAGGTTCAAGCGATTCTTCTGCCTCAGCCTCCCGAGTAGCTGGGATTACAGGTGCGTGCCACCATGACCGGCTAATCTTTTTGTATTTTTAGTAGAGATGGCGTTTCACCATGTTAGCCAGGCTGATCTCGAACTCCTGACCTCAGGTAATCCGTCCTCCTCAGCCTCCCGAAATGCTGGGATTACAGGCATGAACCACTGCACCTGGCCCAAAATAGAATTTAAGGTTAAAAATAAAGTGCAGGCTGGACGTCGTGGCTCACGCTTGTAATCTTAGCACTTTGGGAGGCTGAGGCAGGTGGATCACCTGAGGTCAGGAGTTCAAGACCAGCCTAACCAACATGATGAAACCCCAACTCTACTAAAAATACAAAAGTAGCCGAGCATGGTGGCACATGCCTGTAATCCCAGCTACTCGGGAGGCTGAGTAGGGAGAATCGGTTGAATCCAGGAGGCAGAGGCTGCAGTGTACCGGGATCGCACCATTGCACTCCAGCCTGGGCAACAAGAGTGAAACTCTGTCTCAAAAATAAATAAATAAATAAATAAATAAATAAATAAATAAAGTGCATAGGCCGGGCACGGTAGCTCATGCCTGTAATCCTAGCACTTTGGGAGGCTGAGGCGGGTATATCACCTGAGGTCAGAAGTTCAAGACCAGCCTGGCTAGCATGGTGAAACCCTGTTTCTACTAAAAATACAAAAAATTAGCTGGGCATGGTGGCACACCTGTAATCCCAGCTACTCGGGAGGCTGAGACAGGCGAATCACTTGAACCCAGGAGGCAGAGGTTGCAGTGAGCCGAGATTGTGCCATTGCACTCCAGCCTGGGAGACAGAGGAAGACTCTGTCCCCCTCCCAAAAAAAAATCAATTCTATTTTGTTACATATTGAGACTGTTGCCCAACTTTCTTTTGTGTCATATTTGCCACCAGGTAAATCTTTTTTCCCTGTTTTTAAATTTCAATCTTTACATATCTTTCTGCTTTAAGAGGATTTGCCATATGCATTCATATTAAAAACTTTCAATAAACTAGGTATTGAAGGAATATACCTCAAAAATAATAAGAGCCATATATGACAAACCCACAGCCAACATCTTGCTGAATGAGCAAAAGGTGGAAGCATTCCCCTTAAAAACCAGCACAAGACAAGGATGCCCTCTCTCACCACTCCTACTCAACATAGCGTTGGAAGTCCTGGCTGGGGCAATTGGGCAAAAGAAACAAATAAAGACGTCCAAATAGGAAGAGAGAAAGATAAACTATCCCTGTTTGTAGATGACATGATCCTATATCTAGAAAACCCCATTGTCTCAGCCCAAAAGCTTCTTAAGCTGATAAACAACTTCAGCAAAATATCAGAATACAAAATGAATGTGCAAAAATTACTAGTATTCCTATACACCAAACAACAGTCAAGCTGAGAGCCAAATCAGGAATGAACTCCCGTTCACAATTGTCACAAAAAAAATAAAATACCTAGGAATATAGCTAACTGGGGAGGTGAAAGATATCTACAAGGAGAACTACAAACCACCGTTCAAAGAAATCAGAGATGACACAAACAAATGGAAAAACATCTCATGCTCATGGATAAGAGGAATCAATATCATTAAAATGGCCATACTGCCCAAAACAATTTATAGATTCAATACTCTTCTTATTAAACTACCATTGAGATACTTCACAGAGCTAGAAAAACTATTATTATTATTATTATTTTTTTGAGACGGAGTTTTTGCTCTTGTTGCCCAGGCTAGTGTGCAATGGTGCGATCTCGGCTTACCACAACCTCTGTCTCCCAGGTTCAAGCGATTCTCCTGCCTCAGTCTCCCGAGTAGCTGGGATATTACAGGCATGCGCCACCATGCCCAGCTAATTTTGTATTTTTAGTAGAGACATGGTTTCGCCATGTTGGCCAGGCTGGTCTCAAACTCCTGGCCTCAAGTGATTCCCCCTGCCTCGGCCTCCCAAAGTGGTGGGATTACAGGCCTGAGGCACCGTGCCCGGCCAGAGCTAGAAAAACTATTTAAAAATGCATGTGAAACAAAAAAGGGCCAGAATAGCCAAGGCAATCTGAAGCAAAAAGAACAACGTTAGCAGTATCACACTACCCAACTTCAAACTATACAGGGCTATAGTAACCAAAACAACATGGCACTGGTACAAGAACAGACACATAGACCAATGGAACAGAATAAAGAACACAGAAATAAAACTACACCTATGACTGTCTGATCTTCAACAAATCTGACAAAAACAAGCAATGGGGAAAGTATTTTCTATTCAATAAATGGTGCTGGGAAAACTGGGTAGCCATATGCAGAAGATTGAAACTGCATCCCTTCCTTACACCATCCACCTTAACTCAAGATGGATTAAAGACTTAAATATAAAACTCAAAATTATAAAAATCCTGGAAGACAACCTAGGCAATACCATTCAGGATATACTGGCAAAGATTTCATGACAAAGATGCCAAAAACAATTGCAACAAAAGCAAAACTGACCAACAGGATCTAGTTAAACTAAAGAGCTTCTGCACTAAAAAGGAAACTATCAACAGAGTGGACAGACAACCTACAGAATGGGAGAAAATTTTGCAAACTATGCATCCAACAAAGGTATAATATCCAGCATCTATAAGGACCTTAAATAAATTTACAAGAAAAAAAAACCATTAAAAAGTGGGCAAAGGACATGAACACTTTTCAGAAGAAGACATACATGCAGCCAACACGTATATGAAAAAAAGCTCAACATCACTGATCATTAGAGAAATGAAAGTCAAAACCACAATGAGATACCATCTCACATCAGTCAGAATGGCTACTATTACAAAGTCAAAAAATAACAGATGCTGGCTAGGTTATGGAGAAAAATGAACGTTTTTACACCGTTGGTGGGAGTGTAAATTAGTTCAACCATTGTGGAAGACAGTGTGGCAATTCCTCAAAGACCCAAAGACAGAAATACCATTTGACCCAGCAATCCCATTACTGGGAACATACACAAAGGAATATAAATCATTCTATTATAAAGACACATGAACACATATGTTCACTGTAGCACTATTCACAATATCAAAGACTTGGAATCAACCTAAATGCCCACTAATGATAGACTGGATAAAGAAAACGTGATACACATACACCATGGAATACTATGCAGATATAAATAAGAATGAGATCATGTCCTCTGCAGGGACATGGATGGAGCTGGAGGCCATTATCCTTGGCAAAATAATGTAGGAAGAGAAAATCAAATGCCAGATGTTTTGACTTATAAGTGGGAGGTAAATTGTGAAAACACATGGACACACAGAGGGGAACTGCACACATGGGCCTATTGGAGGGTGGAGGTGGGAGGAGGGAGAGGATCAGGAAAAATAACTAATGTATACTAGGCTTAATACCTGGGTAATGAAATAATCTGTACAACAAACCTCCCTGACACAAGTTTACCTATGAAACAAACCTGCACATTTACCCCTGAACTTAAAAGTTAAAAAAGAGTATTTGTTATAAATCACACATGATTTGGTTCCCTTTTTCCTCCATTATTAGAGCCTTTGTTCTTTTATTGGTAACTGCTGAAGTAAAGATTTACTTTTGCAACTCATTTCACATTCTGTTTTTATTGTACAATGTTTCTTCCCTTTTCTTGCTTTCCATTTGATAGACTGATTTTTTTCTGCTGTATTAAAAGTTATACATACTGATTCTGTTCTTATGGTGGTTGCCTTTAATTTAACACAGTGAGCATTTACCTTTTAAAATGTCTTAACTACCTTAATATTTATATCTTGCCTCCTAAGTTCTTTAGCATACTCTTATGTTCTTTTGATTTTCTACTTCCCTCCCTCTAATGCCAATTCTCCTACCAAGTAGATATTACACACACACACATTCATTTACCCTCTTTTAAAAATATGGTCCTGGATTTGTTGACAAATCACCCTTATATTTGTTGTAAATTTCTTGATTTGATTCTCTTTTTGTGTACTTCCTCTAAGAGTGTTTTTTTTTTTTTTTTTTACCACGTCCAAGAGTGTTTTAAATATGAGCCTTTGGATTCTTTGCATGATAATAAATTTGTTATGCCATCTCACTTGAATAGCAATTTTGATACATATAAAGTTCTAAACTCCAGTTTATTTTCCTTCACTACTATAAAAATATTATTTTATTTTATTCTTGCATTCATTGCTGTTGAAAAGTCTGACATCAATCTGATCTTACTCCTTTGTAAACTGTTCTTTTTTTTTTTTTTTTTTCTGATAGGGTATCACTCTGTCACCCACTGGAACCTCCACCTCCCGGGTTTGCCTCAGCCTCCCGAGTAGCTGGGACTACAGGCACACGCCACCAGGCGGGGCTAATTTTTGTATTTTTAGTAGACACAGGGTTTCACCATATTGGCCAGGCTGGTCTCGAACTCCTGTCCGCAAGTGATCCACCCGCCTCTACCTCCCAAAGTCCCAAAGTGCTGGGATTATAGGCGTGAGCCACTGTGCCCAGTTGATAAACTCTTCTTTCTAAGTTTTAAAAATATTTATTTGTCTCAATATAACGAGCATAGGTGTGGATTTTTCTGAAGCTCCTGTTAAGTATCCTTTGAACCCTTTTCTCTGAGGTCTTTCATAATTAAAAAAAAATTGTAAATTTATTAGTCATTATTTTCTCACGTATATATTTTTTTCCTCTCACTGTGAGTTCTCTTATGATTCAGATGTTGATACTTCTATTTCTAGCATACATTTTGCTGAACTTTCTTTTATATTTTTGATGTCTTTATTCTTTCCTACTGTCTTCTGGGATTATCTTTCATCTTATCTTTTACCTCACAAATTATTCTTCAGCTATATTTATCCTGGTACTTGTCTAATCTATAGTATTTACAACTTCTACTGTTATAGTTTTAACATCTAATATTCTGTCTTTGTTTTTGTGAGTTACTGGTTTTGCTTTATGTTGCTGGTATCTTCTATTATCTTAAGTATATTTGCCATTTTGTTTCAAGTTCTTGGTTCATCTTCTTCACAATTCTGCATTAGATAGTATATGGTGTTAATTTGTTGTCTATGTTTTGCAATTTTTTTGTTCCTTAGCCATATCATTATGTTGATCTGTGAGCTCACGTCTCCAGGAGGGCACCAGCTAGTCTGTGGGGTAATGTGTAATGGGGAAGAGATAAAGTCAAATACTGGTCTGTGTCCCTCCAGATCCAGCCCTGGTAGAGAGCCCAGAAACACTGTGGATCTCCCCATTTGCCACTACTCTTTCAGGCAACTCCTAGGAAAAGCACAGTTGGGAGTAGGCAGGTGCTCCACGTTGGGATTCACCAGCGCTGGGAGTTGGGGCAGTGGTCGTGAGTAGTGGAGAAGAGAATACCCAAAAGCTCACCCCTAGTTTCATCTGTTCCCTACTGATTTACCTTGAAGATACAAGTAGCCTGGCCTGTTGCAGCCTGTTTATGTATGAAGGGGAGGCAACAATTGTCCCAAGCCGATTGGGAAGGACATAGTGCAGAAATTAAAAAGTCTTCCTGCAGCCTGTTCTCCCACTGTGGCTTATCTCCCAGGATGCAGCCCTGCCCATTCTCTACGCACACCAGCTCAAGACAGCAGTTCTGTCTCTCCTGGCAAATATAAAAACACTTTATACTTATTTCTGGTGTTGCCAGCTCCCCAGATCCTTGCTTCCTTTTGCTTCTCTACCTTTACAAAAATTAATTTTGGGTGAGGGAGCTGGAAGCCTGAACCTACCTATTTGCCATTTCACAGGAACTGGAAGCTTTATTTCTGGTCCTCAAAGGGCAAAGTGACAAGCGACATTCAATAGCTCATGGCCTGAGGCTTCCTGATGCCCAGGGTCTTTCACTCGTAGCCAGGACTGATGTGTTGTCATAGCCATTCCAAGGGTCTCTTTTCAAGGTGTCCAATGGGGTGGCAAGCAGGGATTCTGATTCATCTATGCTCCAGGGACAGGAGAGAAAGGAACTTGGAGATTCATGAGGTAGGCATGAAGCTTGGATAGTGGGAGGGGAGGAAGATAGATGTGTGTTGAGCATTTATTGTGCACTCTATTGAGCCCTTGCTGGGTACACCTTGAGGGCTAATTTACTTCACAGAATCCAGGAGGAATGCCTTCAGGGGTACTTTCAGGAAAGTATCCATAGATTTTTAGGAGGCTGTGTGGTGAAGCTATGTTCATACTACTAGATAATATTTACCTTATAGGCTTCATGATGTATAAATCTGCCTTTCCTCTAATTTATAATAGAAGCATCCATATGATTTATGAATTCTTTCAGATTAGCTCTTTTAGGCCATCCTAGCTAAATACTGAGGGTGTTTAGTATCCTCAGGGTGCTTTGCTGCAGCTGTCCCCAGCTGGTCTCGTTTTTTCCTGTTTTCTAATTGGTCTCTACCCCCATTCCTCCCTCAGTCTGTCTTGACAGATGGCAGATGCATCTTCCTATGTGGCAGTGCTTGGCACTAGGTTTGCAGCAAATGCTTGTTGGATTGATTTTCTTTAGATTTGAAGGTTAAAAAGAGAGTTTTTCTCTTTATAGGCACCCATCCCAATTTCTTCTCCTTGCAATGCTCAGTAGTTGCTACCAGGAAGGGCTGTCACCAGGTTGTGTCCTAACTGGAATGAGCTCTTGAGTGGGAGTAAGCAATGTTTGTTGGTAGGTCAAAGGGTTAACAACAGTTTTAAGCTCTTTTTTCCCATGGGAAGATGAACTCCAGTTTACCTTATACTTACTGTTTCTTTGAAATGTACTGTTTGGATAAATGTGAAATGTCAGCTGTATTTTAAAAAATCACATTTATTTATTTATTTATTTATTTATAAGTGTGGAAATGACCCCTGGTTGGTGAACTACATCTATGCTGGGCAGACTGCGGGCAGGCATTTAGACTTGGTGGACCTATATGACCAGACCCGTATGAAAACCTGTTGGGAAATGTAGGCCCTGGACTCTGTTATGGTGTGTTTCTTGAATCCGAATATGCCTGTTTTCTTGGAATCCTCACTCATGGGTTGGTATAAGATGTGGTTCCTGTCATGTGAGAGATTCTTCCATCCTAGAATGGCTCCCCCGTGCCTCTCCCCTACTCCTGTGGTCTTGTCTACTATGACCATGCATATTCCCATGAGATGAGAGGGTTAAGAATCAGCATCTAGAATACATAAAGACTCCTGATGAAGATGTCTAATGCTGTCAGGCTGACAAGCTATGTTTCCATATCCAATATTCCTCTACAAAGCTAAATAAATAAGTTGCCGTATAACAGCCCACCAAGTCTTTTGAGTGTGTATGTTAATCTGAACCCAAGGCACAACTAATTTGTATGAAGTAAGCATTGTAGGATTTTTTTTCCTACAAAAATAACTTTCTCTTCATTGCTGAAATTCTGTTGTAAATAAACAAGTGGTAAGCAGAGGATCATAAAATGTTCCTTGCTCAAAGCCTTAAAATTCCCAAAACTCCAGCATTCAAATTTCTCTGGACAGAATTGGAACCAAAATGAAGTCACAGTTAATAATAAAACATTACATTTGTGTAATGCTTTGAATATTCTAAAGATTTTATTCTACTTTTCCTGTCTTCTCTTCTCTGACTGACTCAATATGGCTTCTCTTGTACCTGCAAAAAGATGACTTCAAAATCCATTTCTCCAATTTTGAACCCACTACAGTACTTGATATCCATGTATGCCACTATTTAGAAGCAAAGGAAATAAAATCATTGAAATGACACTTTGAAATAGACTTGGTAGGACCTGAAAACTCACTGAATCCAATCTTCTCACTCAGACAGTTGAGTGGACAGTGGTTTAATCCACTGAAAGAGGAAATACAAGGGAAGGACATGTTTGAGAGGTGTTTAGAGAATGATTGATAAAAGGTCTTAGAAGAGGTGAGTGTCCACTATTTTTGCACTGGAGTATCTACCCCTGCTCCAAGGTCCCTCATGTTCACATCTGTTGGGGATGATGGGAGGGCCAGAAGACAGCCCACCTCATGGAAATAAGAGTAGCCAGGCTACATGGAGTAGGTCGGGAAGCAAGGAGGCTCAGGACCAAGGAAAGGTTTATCGAATAAATATTATGAAATGCTCAGCTGGTATATGAAGAGCAGTGAGGGTTGGGGGTATCAGGATCACAATCCATATTCAGTTCCAAGATGTCTGGACCATTTCACAGTTGGGATATGGTCTTCCTCTAAGGAAGAACATGGGCTGTTTTTTTCATACTTCTGATCACAGTTGGCAAGAAGGAATGGTTGGAGTAATAGACTAGTAGTTGGGTTCTTAGATTTGTTTCTTTAATCAAATTCTCATGGCTAATGGCAAGATAGAATATGCTTATACAGGACATTTATCTGAAAGTTGTGTTACAGACAACATCCATTAGAATCATCCAGGGTACTTCATGAAAATGCAGATTTCTGAATAACCTCTAGAACTGCTGAATTAGGATCCCTGGGCTGGAGCCTGAGAATTTGCATTTAAGCCTACTTCTTAGCAATTCTTATGTACACTAAAATTTAAGAAGCATATGTAAGCTGGTTAATTATGAATTATTCTTATCAATGAAAAATTATACCAAATGAGAATTAAATGGGACAACTGGATATTTCATTGCTTTGAAGAAGCTGGTGACAACTTCATCTAAGACTTCCCAGTTGCTCTTTCAGTATTACTTCTAAATTTACTATTGCAGTTTATTTTTCATTAAATCTTCCTTCTACTGGTACAAAGAAAAATATCTTTGTCTTCCCTTTTAATTTTATTTATTTATTTTGTTTGAGACAGAGCCTCACTCTGTTTCCCAGGCTGGAGTGCAGTGGTGTGATCTCGGCTCACTGCAACCTCCACCTCCTGGGTTCAAGCGATTCTCCTGCCTCAGCCTCTCGAGTAGCTGGGACTACAGGCGCCTGCCACTATGCCTGGCTAATTTTTGTATTTTTAGTAGAGACGGGGTTTCACCATATTGGCCAGGCTGGTCCCAAACTCCTGACCTTGTGATCTGCCAGCCTCGGTCTCCCAAAGTGCTGGGATTACAGGCGTGAGCCACTGCGCCCGGCCAATTTTATTTTTTAATTAAACATTTCTGAGACATTTTGGCTTTAATGAAAATGTTTCCAAAGCATGTTCAAAGCGTAGTCCTTAGTTTGATGGTCTGAAGAATGGAATCATTTATTAGTGGAGTTCAATAAATATTTATTCGCATTTATACATACAAGGTCCTTTGGACAGAGTAAGAGACACAAGACACCACCACTCCCTGAAAGAGCACACAAAACAATTACATAGATAAGACCAACACACACATTTGAACTGTGGTATTGAAACTTAAAAAAAAAAAAAGCCTAAAGCCCTCTCAGTAAAAAAGAGTTGAGTACTTATCGACACTTACATGTTTATTTATACATTATCCCATGTACTAGCATATGGCTTGACTATATACACCAGAACTCACACTGTAACAAATAGAAAGTTTATAAGTTACCAAAATAAATAGAAACTTTAACACTTCCTTCCTGTATCCTCAAGGATCATTTGCACATTCCCTGTAGTGTGCACATTCCATTTTGTAAACCAGTGTTTTTAGAAAACAATGCCTACCTATATATAACCAAGCACTAAGTTCTGTGTTACAGATTAAAAAAACCATTTTAGAGTAAAGAGAAATAAGAGCAAACCCAGACTACTAGAACTGGTAAATGAAAGGAATAGCATTCAGAAAACAATGTATATTCAATAAATAGATAAAATAATAGGAAACATTTGCTTTGGGTTCATGTCAAAGCCTATTAAGAAGGAGACATAGACATAGGACAAAATGCATATGTAGAGGAAAAAGAAACAAAATATAGAAATGTAAACATTACTTCCTTCTGGCAAAATGTCTTCTAGCCTTTGGTGAGGTATTTCCAGACATTTATAGGCTACACTCTGCCAATGATTTTATTTAAGGATGACACAGTGAATGCTTATTTTTATGTCTACAAAAAAAGTTACAAAATTTAGTTATTCACACATTCATTCATCAGTGCCTCTTGATATTGGAAATGTTTCTCCCTATTGCTTTATGGATTGACTGTATTCCTGAAAAGCTTGAATTACATTTTAAAAACTCAGCCATAAGCTTTGTGGGAGACAGACTGTACCTGTCAAGTTCCCTCTTGTATCTCTGGCACCTCGCATAGCATCAGGCTTATAGTGAATATTCAAGAATGTCCTCTCGATGGTTGCAATATATTTGAAAATCTCAGCATTGAAAGGAATTCTGTGACAAACCACTTAAAAAAGTTAAAATGAATGAACATTCAGTAAATTCTGATTTTGATGAAACACAGTTGTTCATAAGTGGACAAAACTATCCTTTAAGTAAACCCATGGGGACATTTGAGTTGAATAATTTATAGAGACTTATAATCTGAAAGAGAGCGCAGACATAGTCTCATATTCTTTTACCACACAGATAAGGAAAAGCTGGAGCTCACAGAAACTTGAAAGAGCTTGCCCAAGGCCACATCACTATTTAGGAGCAGTTATTTTAATATGTAACAAATTACGTGTGATTAATCTTTTTCAGAAGGGGTTACTGCAGGTTTTCTTAAAGTAACAGTATTAGATAATATTTTATAAAACTTAAAAACTCTATAACATAATGCTTCATAATGTTTAAGAATTCATAAACATTTAGTAAAAATATTAAAAACATGCATAGCAATGATAAAACTGACTTCACATTGGTGGTTATATCTGGGGGCAGTGAAAAGAAAATGGAAGGATTCAGAGGTATCAATTTTATTGTAGTCACTGATTTATTAAAAAAACCATTGAAACAAATAGGACAAAATACTAAGATTTAATAAAGCTGGGTGTTTGGGTAATGGGGGTTTATTTGCCTTTCTGTGTGTTTAAAATACTTAACAATACAAATATTAAAACTAAAATTAGTAAGAGATTTGTAAACTAATAGGTTTTTTAAAATACCAAGCAGAGGAACAAAGTCAACTGTTATTTATCCAAAGAACCATTAACAGAAATAGGCTATATATATATATATATATATATATATGCTAAAGGGTTTAGTCAACAAAGTAGATATTCTATAATTAGCAGCATGAAGGAGTTAGAGTACATCTTATGTTGTTATAATTAATAGTAAATATTTGTAACATACAGAAAATACATGGAACAACAGTCATGCAACCACTACTCAAATACAGTTGTGCTGTTTGCACCTGACTTCAGGTCCACCTTTCTTTTCCCTCACCAGATGCAATTACTAGTTTAAAGTTAGTGCATATCATTTGTTATTATGTTGTGAGAATTGTCCTTGTGAAATATGGACATTTAGTTTATTTTAATGGTTGCACAATTTATTGTAGAAAGGCAACACAATTTTATTTACTTTTTTATGCACTGATGGGCATCCCCTGACTTTCCACCAATTATAAGCAAACCTGCAATGAACATCCTTATGCATACTTCTTTGTTTTTGTATTTGAGAATGTCTTCAGGTCTCTAGGGCATATAAACATAGAATTGCTTGTCTGTAGGATTCTTGTCTCTTTAAATTTGTACAACACTGCATATGTGAAATAAGTAGTTGAAATAAGTGGGAAAACTAACCCTTCCACCAAGATTCTATGCAAATTCCCATTTCTTCACATTTCTGCTTCAGCACGTGGTATTGTTAGGCTATCTACCTTGAGATAATAAAGTTATTCTACATTTCCCCCCCAAAGCTTTAAACCTTTACCTTTTCACATTTAGCCTTTTATTTCATTTAAAATTTATTTTTGTAATGGTGTGAGGTAGAGATCTGGTTTCATTTATTCCCCATGGTGATAGCCTATGTTCCTGCAATATTAACTGACTTATCCAACAGTTCTCAAAATGTGATCAGAGGATTCCTGGGGATGTTGGGAGGGAGAGATCCCTTGGATCCTTTTAGAGGGTCAACAAGGTCAAAAATATTCATAAAATTAAGATGTTATTTGCCTTTTTTTTACTCTCACTCTCATAAGTGTACAGAAGGGTTCGCCAAAGACAACAATGGCATGTGATGAATAGTGATGACTATTTCTCTGATACCTAACAGATTGTGTGCCTGTGTATTGTATTTTCTAGAGTTTTCAAAGGTAGTGAGTTTACGGTATAAGTATGTAGTTTTCAGAAATTATTTCTTTTCTACCATGCTCTTACCAGCTATCTTCAGTTATACCTGTTATAATCTCTGTAATCTCATTATCTTCCAAGAAATCATTTTTAAATCCTAAAGTTTTTCCTTTTACACAGAAACATAACAAAAATTATGTTTACTTTGTTGTTTTGCAATAATATATTTTTCAAAAATGTTTTTAATTAAAAAATTTTATCTGAATAGGGTGGATGGTTGGCTTTAAAAAGGGAGAAGAGAAAACACATTTTCTGGTGTCTAGATTGCCTATGTCTAGAGATGCTGAAAAGGATGACATTGACATATCAGCAAGTTATCTGATTCCTCATAAAAAGGAGAAATCTATTCCAAAGAAACTGAGCACAACTATACACAACAAAAATATGTTGAAAGTGATCTTTTGTTCAGCTTTATAGATGTTAATAATTTATCATATTGTGTCTTGTGCAGTAAAACATTTTCAAACACTTATATGGTTCCAACAAAGTTGCAGTATCATTTTGGGACCAATCATTCAGAATTTATTAAAAAAAGGAATTAAATAACCGAAATGTAGATGTAATACACTCTTTAAAAGCTTCTTACAGGATAAGCCATCATATTGTATTGGCTAGAGGAGCACACACAATCACAGAGAGACTAATAAAGGCTTGAACAGTTGACATTGCTGAATACCTGCTGGATGAAAAATCACCACAAGAATGCATAGTGCTGGCATTTTCCAATGATGCAATAACTTGTCAAATTAAAGATTTAACTGCAAACATAAAGACTGAGTTAATATATCATCTAAAGAATTGTACCTTAGCCTTACAAAGGGACTGATCTACAGATGGCTATACATCCTGTTTTGCTTTCATTCATCAGGTATCAGCATCAATTGACCATTGATGATCTTCTTTTATGTGAATTCTGGGCAACAGGGGTTCTGAAACATTAAAAGTGTTATATGACTTTTTTGAATCTGGTGGTTTATCCTCAACAACTGTGTTAACTGTGTTAACATTTGCACTGATGGTGCAAAAATGGTGGATTTTATCCAATGGTGGGTAAAATGACTGGTGTCTTAGCACGAATTAAGGCAATGGCACCAAATTTTATTAGTAGTCATTGTATTCTTCACCACCACACATTCGTAGTAAAAAAAAAACAGTTTTACTAAAATAATGTCCTTGATGAAGTTGTAAAAATTATTTTCTACTAAATCTCAACCCTTAAGCACATTTAAAAAAATTCTTTGTGACACAATGTGATGTACCCATAAAACACTTCTACTGCATGCTGAAATATAGTTGTCTTTTGGAAAAACACTTGTTTGAGTTGCAAGCTGAATTAGCCACTTTTTCTTTTCTTTCATGGAAACACCATCTTTTCACTTGGAAAAAAAAAGTGACAGAAAATTGATTATTCAGACTTGGGAATTTGGCAGACATTTTCTTGAAAATAAACAGTGATACTATCACTTTAGGGAAAACAACTAGTTGTATTTGTTGCCAGTGCTAAAATTTAAGCTTTTAAAAGTAGAAGTTGGAATTTTGAAAAGCTTGTATCTGCTACTGTGGGATACTTAGAATTTTTTCTGATATCAGCAGCAACATTAATGAATATAATATTTTTTTGAGACAGGGTCTTGCTCTGTTGTTAAGGCTGGATTGCAGTGGCATGAACAGGGCTCACTGAATGCAGCTCTCAACCTTATGGGCTCAAGTGATCCTCCTGCCTCAGCTTTCCAAGTAGCTGAGACCACAGATGTGCACTCCACTCTTGGCAAATTTAAAAAAATTTTGTAGAGATGGGGTCTTGCCATGTTGCCCAGGCTGGTCTTGAACTCCTGGGCTCAGACAGTACTCCTGCCTTGGTCTCCCAATGTGCTGGGATTACAGGCATAAGCCACTGCAGCCAGTTTGAGTTTTTGATATTGCATGAAATGTTTGAACATTTCGAATACCTCCATAATTCAGTAAACAGATATTTCCTAATGACCATATAATGTTACAGAATCTTACATGAGTAAAAATAATTTCAAAATGCGGATAGGCCAATAGATTTCAATGACTTCCTGTTGTTTATCCCCTGAACCAGAAGATTTACACTCACCCTAGATTCTTACCTTTCCCTCAACCCCTTCATTCTATTACTCAGTACTCAGTGTAAATTCCACCTCCCAGACAGCAGACAGCTCTTAAGTGTATGCTTTCCTGTTCATTACTATTTCTAATGCCCTCATTCAGAACTCTGGCAACTTACTTTATGATGTCAAATCTCTTACGTAGCATAAGAGGCCACTGCCCACCTCTCTTCTCTAGCTTCCCCCATTTCACTGTATTGTCTAGTAAGCTGATCTTATTATAGCTTTTTTTTTTTTTTTTTAGACAGAGTCTCTCTGTCGCTCAGGCTGGAGTGCAGTGGTGTGATCTCTGCTCACTGTAATCTCCACCTCCCACCTTGAGCACTCCTCTCGCCTCAGCCTCCCAGGTAGCCGGGACCACAGGCGCACACCACTGAACAGGGATAATTTTTTTTGTTTTTGTAGAGACAGTGTTTTGCCATGTTGCCCAGGCTGGTCTCGAACTCCTGGGCTCAAGTGATCCACCTGCTTCAGCCTCCCAAAGTGCTGGGATTACAGCCACTGTGCCCAGCCTATTATAGCTCTTTATAAAACAAAAACAACAAAAAAACCGAACATATTGATTCATGACTCCCTACCTTTGCATTCACATGATTCCTTTGCCTGGAATGTCCCCCTTCTTCTACCTGCTTGGGAATTCCTAGCTATATCTACTAAAATTCTATTCAGATGTCTTTTTCCAGGAAGCTTTTCTTAACCTAACTCACGCCATTAAGTTATTCGCTTTATTTTTCTAGGTTATCTTCTATTTGTTTCTACTGTTGTACTCATCATTCTGTAAGGTATTGGGGCTCTGTAGAATTTCTGTTACAAAATTACTTTTTGGTTTGATAATATTTACCTACATTGAGCAATCCCATAAGAAACAGGCCTGTGAAACTCTCTATTGGGTTTCCTAAAACAATATTGTTGAGAGATTATTTAATTACCTAGCTTTCTTTTTATAGGGACTTGCCAGAGAAATATATTTCTGGTCTTATCATATTAGTTACTCTTCAGATTTGTTTTAGAAAATAGTCACCATTAACACCTTTTAGAATTGGTTGGTGGAAAGTTTCCAATCAAAATTGTGGTCCACCTCTAGCAAGCTGTAAAATTTTATGATCTCCAATTAGCCTCAGTTTAAACTCTAGTCAGGCATTTAGCTTCACAAAAACTGAAGTCAGGGATAGTCAGTTTTCCCATATTAGTAGAGAGCTGGGAAGTGCTGATGTGCACAACCTGCAGCCTGAAATAGTTGCTTTTTCTAAATAACAGTAAAACTGTTGCTCTCTGAGGATGGATAGGTGGATGCTATTTGTTGTTTGCAAAGCTTAGGGAACCCTGTGGTTGAGATTTTTTCCAATACATGCATTTTTTTTCCCTTTGCAAAGGGACTTTGGATAATTGTTAATTTTCCCAAGAATATAATTATAATTCTTTTATTGTTTAAATAGAGTTAATAGTTTATCTACAGTTTCACTTTCTGCAGTTTCAGTTATCCATGGCTTGAAAATATTAAGATATTTTGAAAGAAAGAGGAAGAAAAAGAGGCGTCAGTCACATAACTTTTATTACAGCACATCGTTACGTTTCTATTTCATTATTAGTTATTGTTCATATCTTACTCTGCCTAACTTATAAACTTTAACATGCATATGTATGGGAAAAAAAACATAGTATATATAAGGTTTGGTACTATCTGCAGTTTCAGGCATCCACTAAGGATATCAGAACATATTCTCTGCATATTTAGGAGCAATTACCGTATGATATTTTTTTCTTTCTGTGTAAACACATGGTGTCATAGTCCATTTTGTGCTACTGTAACAGAATATCACAGACTAATAACAAATAACAGAAATTTATTGGCTTATAGTTCTGTAGGCTGAGAAGTCCAAAATCAAGATGCTGGCATCTGGGAAGGGCTTTTTTGTTGCATCATCACACAGAGGAAGGTGGAAGGGTGACAGAGAGAGCAAGAAGGGGCTGAACTTACCCTTTTATAACATCACCAATCCCACCCTAATCACCTCTTAAATATTCCACCTATTAATACTGTTATCATGGCAATTACATTTCAACATGAGTTTTGCAGGGGAGAAACATTCAAATCATAGCACATGGGTTAGGTGAGAAATGAAGAGTGAGGTATACAAGAGCATCCAGAACCATACTATATACATTCCAGCTGTTTTGGTGTAGAAGCAGCACAAATGTAGAAGCTGCATTGTTTCTTGATAAAAGGGTCCTGGAAAGATGACCAGCTATACAGTTTCCACTAGAGGAAATGCAGATTGGCTTGTACGACTTTAGAGTATGAAATATAAAGATCTGGAGTCTGTTCCATGTTTTTTCAGGACTGGTGTGACTATATTATGGATAACGAAGGAAAGGAGCCTCCTTTGAAAGAAGCATCTAAATTAGGGATGGGCTCCTCATTTGGAGGATGTTAGAAACTACGAATCAATGTCTCTCATGTTCAATGGAGCTCCCATTTTTATCGGTTTCATGAGACTATTATTAATTTATTTGAATCCAAGATGAGTCTCAAATATACCCAGAAGAAAAAAAATTAAGAAATGAAACCAAGACTCCTAATGCTTTGAATGTTCGTAACATTCGAGAAAAATTTGAGCCTGGGCTATATAATCAAAGTCTAGGATTTGTGAACCTAACAGGGTTCCACTGTCACCTGTTTTCAAGAGAGTGCTGAGAAAAATTCCAATCTATACCTTAAACAATTAGGTTAAATGATTTAAAGAAATTAGCCTTCAGAGGACTGAATTTTTAATGATTTTTCTACTTGGAAAATGTGACTTCTAAATAAAAAAAGTGCTTGCTTATTATAAAACCTTGGTTCAAAGGTAAATACTATGTTCTGACAAGTGTAAAATAAGTACAAGCACATGTGAAAATAACTGTTAACAGCAAATGCTTAAGAAGTGTTCTTGTTTTCTAAAATAAACATTTCCTGTTCCTAAAGTTTTTGGATCAGAAAATGGAAAAATATAACTCTAGTTAATGGGGATACGCAATTTGACTGTAGACCAATAATTAATTGTCATAAAGACTTTAAAAATCCTTCTAGATTAATAATGTGTAGAGGAGTCTTAGAGGATTACTCAGTAAAATAAATTCAAGGTAACAATATTAATCTAAGTTTCTTTAATATTCTTGATCTGGGTAAACATTTTCATAAATTAATTTTGTGAATTTTGAGTTTAAAATATGTCCTGCTCTAATTTCACCATGTGTAAAATAAAAAGGCAATCATAGTATTTTAGTCCATATAAAACCATGCCTCCATTTATAAAAACAGACTTTTTTTGGACAGTTTAACAGTTACAGAAAAACTGAACAGGAATTACAGAGAGTTCCCGTATGTCCCCTCAAGCCCTCTTCCCTCCAGTTTCCACTATTAGTAACATCTTGCATTAGTGTGGTACATTTGTTAAAATTGGTGAGCCAATATTGATACATTATTAAGTCCATAGTTTACATTAGGGTTCACTCTTTGTGCAGTTTTATTGGTTGTTATATTTTATTGGTTTTGACAAAGGTATGACATGTATCCACCATTACAGTATCATTCAGAATAGTTTCACTGCCTTAAAAATCCTCTGTGCTCCACCTATTCATCCAACCCTTCCCATGGACCACTGGTAACCACTACCTTTTCACTGTCTCCATGGTTTTGCCTTTTCCAGATTACCATATAGTTGGACTCATACAATATGTAATCCTTTCAGATTGGCTTTTCCTTAGCAATATGCATTTAAGGTTCCTCCATTATCCAGAGATGGTTTTAGTTGTCACAACTTGGGTAGAGAGATCAGGGGTCAATGCTACTGGCATCTAGTGGGTGGTAGAGACTGAGGTAGCTCATGAGCATCCTACAATGCCCAGGACAGCCCCCTACAAAAAAGAATTATTCAGCCCCAAATGCCAACCATGCTCGAGGTTGAGTAACCTTGTGTTAAGAGTGACATGTGGCATGAGAAATGGGGCGGTTTTGGCTCATGTTGTGATATTCTAGATTCAGATATTTCCCTGAGCAGAGAGGCTGAAATGCTGAAAATTTTTCATTTGATGACCTTGATGCTTCCTTTCCTGACCATCGTAAAGAACAAATGGCTCCTTTGCTTTGGCAAGAAATACTGAAGGTGGTGGCTTTTTTCTGTTTGTTTTGAAATGAAGTCTTGCTATGTTGCTCAAGCCAGTCTTGAATTCCTGAACTTCTGGTCTCAAGTGATCCTCCTGACTCAGCCTCCAGAGTAGCTGGGACTACAGGCACATGTTACTGCACCAGCCTTCAACGTGATTTTTTTTATTTCATTCAGGTGACAAACTCATGCTGAGGTTCCCAATTTTTGTCTCAGAGCTAGGATATTCTAAATTTGTAAAAAAAAAAAAAAAAAAAAAAAAAAAGTTAAGAAATATTAACTTTCTATGAAACACTCTAAATACTAACAAAGAGCTTGGTGAGTTCTCCCACTTACCTGTGTCCCATCTGTGCTTCAGTTGCAAATATATATATATATACACAGAGAGAGAGAGAGAGTCTTATTCTGTCACCCAGGCTCCAGCGATCCTCCCTCCTTGGCCTCCCAAAGCACTGGGATTATAGGGATGAGCCACTGCCCCCAGCTCAGTTGCTTATTTTGCATTATTTCAAGGCAGTGGAGGCAAAACGCTCAAAATTAATTTCTCACAGATCAACATCACATCTTGGAGTAAAACAAACACATATTGAAGGTATTTTAATGTATGTTTTCTTGAACTTCTTCTAACTAATAGGGGAAATATTTTCATTAACTTTTACCAAAGATTTCTGGATAGTGTAAATATATTTTTCTATTTGGGTAACAGTTTATAGTATGCTGTTATTTCTCTGTTCATTTATTTATTTTTATCATATACCTCCTAGAGTAAGATTTAATTTGATGGAAATGTTTTGTGGATTCTGCTGTAATTAATGCACATAATAGCAGTCAGTAATAGAATTTCTGTAAACCTATATTTATTAATTATCTAATACCTTCTCTTCATTTTGCTGTTGATTTCCACTAAGTAGATTAAATTGTGTTCTTAAAAACAGAAATTCATTTGTGTATGGATACAAAACAGAATGTTCCCAAATGCAATCTTGGATGTGATGCTCTAAACTTTAGAAATCCAGCTTCATTTATTTTGGATTAATTTCTCCCGCTTGGAGGCTGACACACTGTTTTACATCTATCAAATGCATGATTATAAAATTAACAATTTTGTACAATAATGAAATTAAACACACACACACATGAACTGTAAACTATACAGCACCATCTCTGTGTCATAGTTTTAAAAGGCACTTCCAGATGACATAAAAAATGAAGAGATATTTTTTAAGAACCTATTGATTTTTGATCTCCAATTTTGTGTGTGGGGGGTTGTTTTTCTTTAACCCTAGTTTTATCTAATTTGAGATTCATGAACAAGGTATCTCTAAGGGAAAGAGCAGCAGGTATAATTATTAGTTATTTTATAAGACTTTGTGAAGTCTTTGGTATAGTTCTAAAAACAAAGTGAAAGAACCTAATGTATGTATAAAAATAGTTTTGCAAGTCAATTGGTTTCTAATTCTTTGCTTTCAACAAAATTGAAGAAGAACCTTATACTTGAGTTGTCAGCTGACAGATTATTAAAAATATTATTTAATAATAGCCCATTATGTGAGTTTTGCATACGACTAAGAAGAAATTTTAAAAATTGGGTGAAGTTGCCTCAACAAGTCTTTATTTTCTCATTCATTTATATGATCAAGATTCCTTAGTTCTTTCATGTTAAAATTTTTTAATTGAAATAATATACAGCCCAGATTCATTAACAATAAGTAACATTTGTCAACATGAAATTGGGAAAATAAAGTCCCTATCCATCTCATTAAGAGATGCATTTCTAGTTAAATTTTACCATTACAAACTTACACTTTTATTTACCAAAATGTGTATTACAGATTGAGCATCCCTCATCAGAAAATCTGAAATGCTCCAAAATCTGAAACTTTTTGAGCACCAATATGATGCCACATGTAAGTACTGTACTTAACACAACTTCATTTCACATATAAAATTATTTTAAATATGGTATAAAATTACCTTCAGGCTATGTGCATAATGTATATAAGAAACATAAGTGAACTTCATGCTTAGACTTGGGTCCCGGCCTCAAGATATCTCATTATGTATATACAAATATTTTAAAATCCAAGATAATCTGAAATCCAACACACTTTTGGTCCCAAGCATTTCAAATAAGGCATATCCAATCTGTACTGACATTATTTTGATCTCTAACAGTTGGTAATCCTATCTTAATCCATATAACTTTTTTTTGAGACAGCATCTTACTCTGTCATCCAGGGTAGAGTGCATGCAGTGGCACGATCATGGCTCACTGCAGCCTCGACCTCCTGGGCTCAAGTGATCCTCCTACCTCAGCCTCCCAAGTAGCTGAGACTACAGGCAGGAGCCACCATGTCCAGTAATTTTTTTTTTTTTTGTAGAGATGAGGTTTCCCTATGTGCCTAGGCTGGTCTTGAACTCCTGGGCTCAAGTAATCCTCCTGCTTCAGCCTCACAAAGTGCTGGGAGTACAGGTGTGGGCCACTGCACCCAGCCCATATAACTTTTACACTTACAACAAGAAATTAAAAATTCAATGTAAGAACATATTTTGTTGCAAAGAAGCAGAATAGGTGGCTCAATAAAAGATTTCCAAGAACAAAGAAAAAAATTACATTAGGATGTAACCAGGGTTGAGAACTCAAAAAAAAAAAAAAAAAGAAAAAGAAAAATTCTACATGGGGGGTAGAATAAAAATATGAATTCAAAGTGGGAAAAAAGAGCAATGTAAAATTTCCAACCATTAAGAAAGAGGTTGTTTGTATATTTTTTAAATTAATGATAATGGGTGTCAAAACATTATGATATTTAGATTGAATTGAACATATGAGTGATTAACAGTTTTATTTTAAAGTGTTAATATGGAGAATATGTTGGAAATTATATATTTTTTGCAACTATCTGGACACATGTTGACAATTTTAGGTCTATCTAAGTCTATGGGAGGAGGCATATGACATTTCACAATCCTTGTAGGAGAGATGTGAAGGGAAGACCCCTGAGCTATTCTTCCTCCTTCTTGTGTTACCCCAGTAGGAAAATGGACTTATAACTGGAGAAGAGAAGCTAGGTGTCAGCAGAGACATGATGGAGTGGACATTTCTTTCAGTCCTTTACCAGGAAGTCCTTTCAAACTGAGGAGGAACATACTAAGGGAGAGACACACTAGTCTTGAAGCCCATGGCATTCCTGAAGATCCACCTCACACCCCAAATTACCAAACCCCAAAGCTCTCTTCAGCTCAGTAGGTTGTCCTTTAATTTTCAGTAACCCTTCCCTACAGCAGAAGAACCAATTTTTCTTTTCCCTCATAATTTGAATCCCTCCCACTAATTTATTTGAAGATGAAGATATTATCCTCTTTTACTACCAGTGAAAATACAATGACTTGAGAAGAGAAAATGATCTGTGTGACGCCAGGGTAGAAGTGGAAGTTGTGGGCCCTCGAATAAACCACTAGTCTTATACTTGAAGCAGGATAAACAATAAATGCCAAACCCAAGGCAGAAACTAGAAACATGGAGGAAAAGAGGCATAAATGCCTCATATTAGACAGTTACATTCTAAGAAATCTTTCTTGCAGCAGTTACTTTCCTACAATGACCAACTTCCTCTGACTCCAAATTTACTCCTTATGTACACTTGGGTTAGATATTCCTTTGACTATCCAATCATACCATTGTATAGTACCATTTACACATGCATACATGCTCACCTAAAGAACTTTTTGTGTGTGTGTGTGTGTGGTTTTTTTTTTTAAATCGAGTCTGGGACCTGGTTTCGCTCCATTGAGTCACTGGTGAAAAATTTAGTAAATCTACGAAGAGAGTTTAGTAAGTGTAAGAAGAGTCTGCTCACTGTGTGTGATATTCCAATAGATTCATGTGTTCTACACACAGGGATCTCTTGGATATAAGGGAGGCATTTCTCAGGTGTCTGGGTGACTTTCTGGTCATTATCCAGGTTCCTGGCTCAGCTTCCCAGGTCTCTTTGAATAAGCAGAGGGGATCCACATTCAGACAAGGCTCCTGGGGCTCTGACCAGAGGGGCTGGACATCCCTGGTAGACCTGACATTGGGCACTGAGACTCCTGGAAAACTTAAGCTGTTAATTTTGCAGTTCTCCATCTTGACTGCTTCTCGGACTGACCATCAGTTGGTGGGTTTTCATCAGCCTTCTGCCTCACCTCCTCTGATCCAAGCAGCAGCAGGGACTCACTTGCATGCACTGGTCTTGTAGGCAGTGACTTTTAAGCCACATCCTCTGTCTACCAGGCTAAACTTGCCTGCCTGAGAGGCATACTCCTTCCATCCTCTATCGTACATCTGTGAGCTACCAACTCTGGCCCTAGTGTGATACTGCCAGAATGTTGTGTACCTCATCTATTTAGAGTGGGAAGCCCATAAGGCAAACTGAAGAGGCCCCGTATCCTCACTCCCTTTCTGCTCAGTTTTTTCATTTATATTATCTCAACTTCACTCTACTAACCAGAGCACCAAGGAAGGGTAGGTTAGCAATTACGTCTATGATGACTATAGAGAAGTGGGGAGATGACTTATGATCCTCTTTGTGCTGGATTCCCTACTGAAGGCATCTGATGGCTTCTGATTTCCCTGGTCTGAGAAGAAAGTCCCTCTCCACCTCTCCCTCCTTACTCTACCTCAGGCTGAGGGGCTCAGGCAACCTTTTATGTTGCATATGGCATAGGTATCTCTGCCTCACTCCAGAAGGGACCAACCAATAGCCACCTACTCACCTACTTCTGAGGTCTAGTGCCTACAGACCTGGTGTTCATAAATTTAAGTTCTGGATTTAGGTCTCCTTTCCTGTAGCCAGGTGATCAGTGACCGGCAAAAATCAAGATCCCAGACTTCCTGAGTAACCTCATCAAGACTGAGGTAACAGCTCACATAGCTAGTGCATAGACAGATGCAGGTTACATGGAGTCTGAATCCCGTACACATTTGGAGGCTCCCTTTGGGACTGCTGGGATGCATGAAACATGGGATTTCACTCACAGTTGTGCTCACTATGTGTGATATTCCTATAGATTCATGTCTCTACACACAGGGATTTTTGATCATTCTGAATTGTTGATTCCCATAAAAAATGAATACATGGTGATCACTGTATATGCTGCATTACTGAATACATATTTACGAGAGTCTCCAACACATCTTTACACGTCTGAGGAGTAAAAGAATTTCCCACAGATTAGCTTCTGGTTCCCATTTCAAACCTCATTTCTGTTCCACCTCTGGCATTGGGTGTAGTATGGCTCCTTAGTGCTCCAGGCCAAAATAAGTGGCACAGGGGTAAAGTCATTTCTGGTGGGGGGTGGGGGATTTGGAGAAAAAAAGAAAGGATTGCAGGGGAGTACACTGGGAGGGTTAGGAGAAATTCTGGAGATACGGTCCACTCAATGGAGGCACATACAACCAAGCTGAGAAACGACATAGTACCCAACAGAGTTGGGAGATGTGAAACCCAAACATCAATCTCCACCTGGGCATAGAGGAAATACTCGATTTCCAAGCAGGTTCTAGGTTCAGAGGAGAGAGCCCTTGGTTGGAAGCGCCGGTCTTGCAGGATGGGGTGGGGGCGTTAATGCAAACTTCTGGTCCAGCAGAGGTAGAAACAGACCAGATCTAAGTAGCAGCTCAGAGGCAGCGGACTTGAGGGATGAAGACGTGAGGCCCAGAGGGTGGTGCCTGGCAGAGAAAACAGCTGCCAGACACCAAGGCCACCTCGGGTTAAAGGGAACAAGTTATATCCAAAAAAAAACCAACACGGTGAAAATAGGAAGAATAAGGATATCACCTGGAGTGTTCTCCTGAGACACTCCCCAAGAACCTGGATTCTTTAACAATCCCTCCAGAGCAGGGACACTCAGCACATACATCTCCCACAAAGTAAAGTGTCTGAAGGCCTGGGCAAACCCTTCTCCCTCCCCTTCTCTCTCCTCCACGGGCCGGCCCGGAGGAGGCTCAGGGATGAGAACTACTGTCACTGCTGTTCCCCACCTCACCCCAACGAGAGAGGAATCTTTAGAGGTCTGTATCCCTCCTTCACCACCCCGCCTGAGCGCCTGCTGGAAAACACAATCACCGTCTCAAATCTCACCCTGCAACTGCATCCAAGCGCTTTCTCCAAGCGTTCGGGGAGCCGCCGGAACTCTTCTTCCAGGCAGGCGTTCCGAGACTCCGCACAATAGGTACCTACCCTTGGGGTTTTGAGCCGCAGTGTCTGCCTCTGTTCAAGTATCCAGGCTCAGGTACAGACCTTTCAGTGCAGGCGGCGGGAGGCGCGAACACGGAGGACCCCCTCAGGCATACTGCCGCCCGGGCGGCGCCTGACAGATTGCCTCCTTGGGATCGGCGGACATGCCCTGGGCGCTCCAGCTCCGCGCGCCTCAGACACAGGCTATGATTGGCCTGGCTGAACGTCAATCAGGGCTCGGCGCCGTGGAGGCGGGAGGAACGCTGTAGGCAGAGGCCGCTTAACTCCCTACGGGGTTATTCTCCGCCTCTTCTAGGGTAGGCAGGTGTTCCCGAGTCCCTTAGGGGGGGTCCCCGCGGCGGCCTGAGATGCTCGGCGCCAGGTTGTCGCGCCCTTGAGCTGGCTGAAGTAGACATTGACTCTGGAGAGTCTGCGTTTTTCCTGGTCCCAGAGCCGTGGTCCCGATACTGCGCTTCCCGCTCCTCCAGTCCCAGCTCCCAGGCTCCGTCTTCTCCCGCTTGGCGCTGGAGAAACACCGGAAGAGAGAGTCGCAGAGTGACTGCTGTGGCCCTGCGACCTGACTGCCACCTTCCAGGACTCTAGCCCTGGCTCCTTCTAACCTTCCCGCCCCTCAGTGCCCCAGAGAGGCTGGTTTGCGGACAATTATTCATCAGCCGGAAGAAAAGGAGGTGCCAGTGTTAGGCGCAGAAGAGGGTTGGACCAGAAAAGCTGGAGAGGGGCAAGAGGGGAAAGAGGGGGAAGGGGGAAGGCGGAAGGCGGAAGAAGTTGGGAGGGGTAACAGCTCGAGCTTTTCCTCTAGCGTAGTTTCTCTTCTCTCGGTGCCGCCCCATCTGCTTCTTGCCTCAGTTCCCCACTCGCACCCGTGCACCTCTGCGGCAGGCGTGTGAAAGGAATGGGAGGGGGGGCTTTTGGTCGGGATATCTGGTCCTCCAGACCCCACAGCCTTGGCTGAGAACTTACTTAAGCCCACTCCAACTGACTTGATAAATGAGAATCTTGACCAGCCCACTGGTAGGTAGAAATGAGGGACGTCATGTATCCCTGAATGGAATAACCCGAAACCGCAGGTCCCGTGGATGTGGGAATCCACAGCACTGGCTGCGCTCCTAAGGCTCCTAAGTCCACTTCCGAACCTCATCTAAGACCCTGAAAGCCAGACTAGGGACACATTGGATTATTATTATTATTTTTTTTATTTGAGACAGGGTCTCGCTCTGTCGCCCAGGCTGGAGTGCAGTGGTGTGATCTTGTCTCACTGCAACCTCCGCCTCCCGCGTTCAAGCGATTTTCGTGCCTCAGCCTCCCGAGGAGCTGGATCTACAGGTGCGCACCACCACGCCTGGATAATTTCTGTATTTTTAGTAGAGACGGGGTTTCACCATGTTTGCCAGGCTTGTCTCGAACTGTTGACCTCAAGTTATCCTCCCGCCTCCACCTCTTAAAGTGCTGGGATTACAGGCCTGAGCCTCTGCGCCAGTCCTACACGTTGGATCTTTTCCCAGACCTCCTCCTCAGACGTGGAGCGTACAAATGATGCTCCATCGGTTACTCTGATCCTGACTTTGGGACTGCCAGATAAAACTGGGAGAAACCCTACATTTACTCTTACTGTAACGTATTGGCTTGAAACTGCAGGTCAGAACCCATTTATGTTGAGACCAAAAGACTTTTTTTCCAAGTAGAATGAAATAGAATAAAATACAATTGAAAATACTTGCCTGCATCACAGGTAATGAGAGTAACTATAGTTTCATGAAACCGTTGTTTCAGTTAAATATGTTTTTGCGTGTGTGCATGTGTATCGGGAGGAGATATGTATTTCATATATATATGTAGAGAGGTGGAAATCAACAACAAAACTCCATAATTTTTCTTGTTTTCTAACAGTTCTTGATTTTGAGTAAAAATAATTCTTTAAGAACAAAATTTTGAGCCAGCTAACGAAAGATCAGAGTCAAGCAGCCTCTCATTGGGGCCTGAATAGAGGTTCATCTTATTTGGCTTTTTCGTTTTTTTCCTATCTTGTGGACTCCTTTTAAGGCCCAGCAAGGAATTACCCTCCCCAAGTTTCCACTCTCTGCTTGGTTCAGCCATTCAGCTGTCTCTCGGGCTCTTTGATTAATAAAAAGTCCAGTAGAGCTATTTTATCCTATGCATGTGTGGGAAGAGGGCAATGCCAGTGATTCTTTCCTGATTTGACAGAAAATTCACAAATCACGTTACCTTCTGAAGATAGAGATTTTAAGCTCAAACATTATCACCAGAGAACTGAATTATTAAGAAAGATGAGTGGTCAAAAGTACAGATGTTTTACAGATTAAGGGTCATTTTGTCAGGTCCTGTCCAAAATATTTGAAGTCTAGGGGTTTGAAAAATTGTTAGAAATAACCATTTATGACAACAGTTTTCATTTATTGTTCTCTCCAGCTTCAGGAGCAGGGGAGAACATTTTTTTCCTTCTTACCTTGCTGAGAATTTTTTCACCAGGGTTTCAAGGCTAAGAACTGAAATTCCAGCATTGACATTGAATTAAAAAGAAGCAAGCCCTTTTAGGAAGTCAAATTTTATTATATGAGATGGAATGTAATATTGAGATTACTTATTACTTAGGCATGGGATAGGGGGGCTTTTAACAACAGACCAAAAAAAAAGTTGGAAGGATAGGAATGAAATAAAGCAAACTTTCATTATTCATAGATGATACAATTGTCTACAGAGAAAAATAATCTAAAACATAAGAATTAAGAGTTTGGCACAGTGGTTGGCTAAATATATAAACAAATCTATTGCATTTTCTATAAAAACAAAAAAGTAGAAATGTGATTAACTGGTTTATATAACAAACTTACAGTACAGTTGACCTTTGAACAACATGGGCTTGAACTGTGCAGGTCTACTTATATATGATTTTCTTCTGCCTTTGCCACCCTTGAGACAGCGAGACCAACCTCTCCTCCCCTTCCTCCTTCTTAGCATATTCACCATGAAGACATGAGGATGAAGACCTTTATGATGCTCCACTTCCACTTAATGAATAGTAAATATATTTTCTCTTCTTTATGATTTTTTAAATAACATTTTCTTTGCTTTTCTGAGACAAGGTCTTGCTCTGTTGCCCAGGCTAGAGTGCAGTGTTATCATGGCTCACTGTAGCTTCAACCTCCTGGGCTCAAGCGATTCTCCACCTCAGCCTCCCAAGTAGCTGGGACTACAGGTGCACGCCACCCTACCTGGCTAAATTTTTAATTTTTTGTAGAGATGGGGTCTCGCTATGTTGCTGAGGCTGGTCTCCAACTCCTTGTCTCAAGCACTTCTGCCTCAGCCTCCCAAACTGCTGGAATTACAGCCATGGGCCACCGCACCTGGCCAACATTTTCTTTTCTCTAGCTTACTTTACTGTAAGAGTACAGTATATAACACATAAAAATATAAAATATATGTTAAATAACTTTATGTTATTGGTAAGACTTCTGATCAACAGTAGGCTATTAGTAAAGTTTTGGAGGAGTCAAAAATTATGTGCAGATTTTTGACTGCACAGGTGGTCAGCGCTACTAACCCTCGCATTGTTGAAGGGTCCACTGTAATCAGGAATAAATTCTCAAAAAGGAAAGGCATGCAAGATCTTAGTGGGGAAAATTAAAATCATTAAAAGAAGTTGAAGAAGTACTGCACAGATGGAGAGATACATTCATGGTTAGGAAGCATCAATATCATTAAAATGCCAGTTTTCCCCAATGTGATCTATAGTTTCATGCTATTTCTAGAAAAATTTCAACAAAATGTTTTATAGAATTGGACACAATGATATTAAAATGAAACGAAGGAACACAAGTTCAAGAAGAGCCAAAATACCATTGAAAATAAAGAGGAAGTTGGGGAATTTCCTGACTACATGAGAAGATATTATATACACCACTGGATTTAAGACCATGTGCTATTATTGGTGAGAGAGGGAGTAGACAACTGGGCCAATAGAATAGAATGGAAAGAGTGTCAGGACCCCTTGTATGTGAAGAATGGTCATTAAAGACCAGTGGGTAAAGGATGTATAATTCAATAAGTTTGAATTTATGACACTGGATTAGTGGATATATATACATCATAATAAATTCCAGATGAACTAAGTACCGACGTATTGAAGGCAAAACTGTAAAACTTTTAAATGAAAATGTGAAAGAAATATTTGTATGACTTCAAGGTAGAAAAATATTTATTAAAAAGACACACATACACATTTTAAAAACAAAAATGTTAAGAGAAGATGAATAAATTTGACCACATTAAAATTAGAAACTTTAATCAAAACACACTCTAAAGGAAAAAAAGCCACAATCTAAACTTATTTATATCACACATAATTTACATAGGATCAATATCCAGAACATCTAAGAATAGCCCCATAGGAAAATGATCAAAAGATGTGAAAGGGCAGTTCACAAAAAGGGATATATAAAAGACCAATAAACGTACAAAAGTTAAGCTCACAATAGTTATCAGAGAATTGTGAATTAGAACAGTCCTTGAAATAACATTTTAAAATCACTAAATAGACAAACATTGAAAAGTCTAACATTATCAAAAATCAATGAGGATGTAGGGTGAGGGGAACTCATACTCTGATGGTGGACTTCAAACTGAAATAATCTACTTGGAAAAAAATTGGCATTTTGTAGAGTTGAAGCTGAGAATATCCTAAAGCATAGCAGCTCTACCCTTAAATATATATGCACCTTAGGGAAATTATTGAATAAGGCACCAAGAGCAATGTGCAGGAAAAGTCATGAGAGCATTCTTTGTAATTGCAAAAAGCTGGAAACAACCCAGTGTCCATTTGCAGGTAAACTGATACACAAATTTTGGCATAATCATAATGTGGAATTCTATGCAACATCAAGATCAGTGGAATACAGATAAAATAATAAACTTGCATAATTCTTAAAATCATATTGTTGAATGAAGAAAACAACAGAAAACTACATTTTGATATTAATTATGATGTTAATTTGTTGTCAGACAAAGACAATATTTACTATGATGAAAAGCAAGATAATGATCAACTCCAAATTTGGAATAATAGTTGCATTTTGCAGAGAGGAAGGGAGATTCTAAGGGAAGACAAATACAGGAAACTTTAATGTTAAGGGTAACGTTCCATTCCTTCATGTGACTGGTGGGAAAAAATGGATGCTTAAAATTCTTGTAGATATGCATCACATGCATTACTTATTTGTAGAAAAATATTTCAAAAACTGGATCATAAGAAAAAAGGAAAAAGATGTATAAGAAATCATTTGCATAGAGACAGAAGTAACAAAGGCAATTTGATGAAATTTATTGAGACAGAAGACTAAAAAATGAAAAAACATGGTAAATATAAAAATATGATGGCAGAAGTAATCCAGATATATATGCATTTGTAATGTCCATTTATATCATTGCATTAAATCTAAATTTTTCTGCTCAGTAAAGATGGTCTGTGTGTGTGTGTGTGTGTATTTGCTATTCAAAAAGTGCTGGTGGCAATGGCTTATACCTGTAATCCCAGCACTTTGGGAGGCCAAGGAGGGAGGATCACTTGAGCCCAGGAGTTTGAGATCAGCCTGGGTAACATAGCGAGACCCTATCTCTACAAAAATAAAAAAATTAGCCAGGCGTGGTTGTGCATGCCTGTAGTCCCAGCTACTGAGGAAACTGAGGTGCAAGGATCGCTTGAGCCTGGAAGGTTGAGGTTGCAGTGAGCCGTAGTCGCACCCCTGCACTCCAGCCTGAGCGGCAGACTGAGACCCTGTCTCAAAATAAAAACAAAAACAAACAAAAAGCACCTAAAACAAAATGACACCGAGTGATTAAACCAATGGACAATGATAAACTCAGGCAAATGCTAACAAAAATTAATTATGGATAGAAATACTGTCTTACTCCATTTTGTGCTGCTATAATAGAATATCCAAGACTGGATAATTTTTAAAGAACAGAGATTGACTTATTACAGTCCTAGAGGCTAGGAAATCCAAGGTTGAGAGGCCTGCATCTTGCAAAAATCTTCTGGCTGCCTCATACTGTGGTGGAAGGCAAAAGGGATAAAAAGAGAGCTGAGAGAGAGAAAGAGAAAGAGAGAGCGCCCAAGTGCAACAGGTTGAATTCACAGGCTTTTAGCCTTTTTGTAATTGGCATTAATTCATTTATGAGGATGGAGTCGTCATGACCTAAACACCTCTCATCATTAAGCCTCACCTACTAACACTGTTGCATTGAATATTACATTTCCAACATATGCTTTTTGGGGACACATTCAAACCATTACAAATACTAATATTGAACAAAGTAGAATAAATGATGAAGAAATTTTTCAGTGTCAAAGAAGGATACTTTATTATGCTAAAATGTACAATTCACCAACTACCCATAAGTTATAAGCCTTCATATCCTAAACAAGTCTTTGAAAGTTAGGGAAAAAAATGTGCTTTGTTAGGAAAGATAAATTGACACATTTAAGAGCTTTTAGCATACTTTTAAACTAAACTGTCATATCCAATTGTAAAATAATGTGAATGTAAGATATTTTGCTAAAGCAAATAATGATCTTATCAAATATTTATAAAATTGTGTACTCAACAAATAGTGAATGCATATTTTCCCAAACATAATGCATTAAACCACAAAGTAAAATTAAATAGAAATTAGAAACTACACGGGCTATATTCTCTCACCGGTATAAAACACATACATAGAAAAACAAAACAAAACTAAAATAAAACAAAACAAAACCTCACCAAAACAGTACTAACAAGAAAGCCTCCACTTGGAAACTTAAAAACATCTCACTAATTTTTGGGTTGAAAAGGAAATCAAAATTGCAATTCAAAGGAGTTATGTTTTTGCTAGGAATATGGAGGGAATTCAGTTCAGAATTCATTTCTCTATATAGTACAGCAAAGAGAATGAAAAAGAAAACCACACAAGAACCTCATTTTTAGTGAAACTAGGAAACAAAAAGTATGGTTACATCCCAAATTGCATGTCATTTGTGCTTAAAGCAACGGAGAGCAGAACTGGGCATAAGAAGCCAAAATGTTGCTGTGGCAACAGATGAAAGCGTGGAGGGAACTAGTGGTGCGGGATCTCGGAAAGGGCCCGAAAATATTCTCTCTCTAAGAGTAGAAGCCAGCCTAGGTTGGAGCTGTTGGCAGTTGGCCTGAGCTACAGTGAGGCCCAGATGCTGGGGAAGGCAGAAGAAGGCCCACATATTGGGGGAGCAGACTTTGTTTTGGAGGTTCCAAGGTGGCAGATAACAAAGGTTCCCTCTGGAATGCAGGGGGTCCTAACACCGTGGTAGAATCCTTGCTGAAATAGATTAAATTCCCCAAGTTGGAAAAAACATGGATGCAGCGTATTTTAAGATAAAGTTTACGTGTTAGTAATAAAGGATTGGTCCTTCGGTTGTAAAACCTGGGAGGTTACTATTGCCCATGTCTTCTCTCACCAACCCATCATCCCACCCCCATCCAATAGGAGTCTTCCACTAATATCTGGTCCAGGAATGCTCAATTTATTCAGAATAAGTAGGAAAAGAAATGGCACAGTTCCACATAAATATGCCATGAGAAAAAAATGTTTACAGAAAGCAGCAAGATTTCCCTCCAGAAGTAATGAAGCAACCTCAGCCATGAAGATCATGGAGCCAAAAGGATGACCTTCAGCAGAAGCAGTTACGAGCCAAAGAGGTCCAAGGGCACTGAGGGAGGAGCCAAGTGGTAAGGGCCACCTCTGGCTGGGATCCAGGGTGCCCAAGTGGGAAAATGAGCAAGCCAGAGAGTGCTTGGTCTAGGGATTAAGAAAAGCACACAGTAATAGGTTGGACACTAAATTTGAAAATGAACAGTGAGAAAAATGCTGTGGGGACCAGGATTGAAATGAAGTAACAGAACAATTAAAATTACATGATCCAGGGACAGAGACTTGAACTCATAAACAGGCCTGTGTTGCCCATTAGTCACAAGGGGAGCAGTGAGCCATTGTTAAAATGCCAAGGATTCCCAATGCAGTTTACTTGGAACTTTGCCCAGCGATGAAGGAGTCTGACTTGTCTTTTCTGTAATAGTTAGAATCAAAGAAAAATAAAGCACAGCTGGTGGGAGGGTGAGAAGCAAGCATCATGAACCACGGTCTAATTCAAGGATCAAACTGCTGTCCAGTTCTGGCAGATTTTGGATTGCAAGGGGAATAAAGCTGAGAGGCCATATTGGCACCTAGGCACAGTGAGGTGAGTCTGGCCACGCATTTAAGAAGCCCCTGCAAAATGATACAGGTGGTTACTAAAAACCACCTCTGGCCTCTGGAAAAAAAGAAATAGCATCTCCCGGATAAGAATATCTGGGTCTCACACCTATTGACCAGGTCGAGATAGGGTTCAGTTGGGGATGGGATATAATAAAAGGCATGGGTAAAGAAACTGGGCAGAGGCATAGTGCCTGCATGTTGGAGATTAAGGAGGGAATTCGGAACTCATTTTTCTATATATATTACAACAAAGGTTAAGTTTGGAGGTTAAGTAAGGATGCTGCAGCTCACTCATGGTTGCTTTTCCTTCAGAGTACTCATGCCTCGGCTTACCCAGGGGGACTCAAGGAGAGGAATGTGTGTGCGCATATCTATCTATCTATCTATCTATCTATCTATCTATCTATCTATCCATCCATCCACCTTCTAATCTACCTAAATCAATCACTGTGTGTATCTATTCCAACCACAATGGACTCCTATCATTCAATTTCATTTAGTGGTACATCTCAGCCCAGTTTACAGAAAAGCTGTAAAGGGCTGTAAAAGGCTGTATGAGAACATAATCTGAAAAGCGTTGCTCAAAAGAGCATATTATATATTATTGGGCATTTATGAAGAAATTAGATCTCACACTGAGCTAGTTAATAAAGATTTATAATTACAAATGGGCTGCAGCATGTGATTCTGAACTTGACTATTTCCTTTTGCCCTTCAGTTTCAGACTATGATATGGATTATGATTCTCTACCACCCCCTAGTGGAAATTCATTCATTTCTTTTTAAGTCCTGCTTCTTCTAATCATTTAGTCTAAATGATTAGACTAAATGAGAAAATTACATAGTAAATATCTGGATTCACTCTTGTTATAAAAGGTTCAAACCGGCCGGGTGCAGTGGCTCACACCTGTAATCCCAGCACTTTGGGAGGCCAAGGCGGGCGGATCACAAGGTCAGGAGATTGAGACCATCCTGGTTAACACAGTGAAACCCCCGTCTCTACTAAAAACACAAAAAATTAGCCTTGCGTGGTGGCGGGCGCCTGTAGTCCCAGCTACTCGGGAGGCTGAGGCAGGAGAATGGCGTGAACCCAGGAGGCGGAGCTTGCAGTGAGCCAAGATTGTGCCACTGCACTCCAGCCTGGGCTACAGAGCAAGACTCCGTCTATAAAAAAAAAACAACAAGTTCAAACCATACAGAAGGGTACGGAGTAAAAGGTCTCCTTTGTTTCTCCCTCCTCCCCATTCCATTCTAGGTCCCAAAGGTAACTGTGTGTAGTTTGTGTTATACTAGGATATTTCCTGTGCTTTTACACATTCCAGGTATATGGCAGGAAAAATCCTGAGACATCAACTGAGGATTATTTTCCTCAGGCATCTTTCTACAACAGAGGCAGATAACGCATTTCCCCTCATGCCATGGGAGACAGACCACAGCAAAACAGCAATGACCAAAAGATTAAGATTTTTCATTTAAAATTTTACATTTGAAAACCATGGTAGGCCAGGTGTGATGGTCACATGCCTTTAACCATTTAGGAGGCTAAGGCAGGAAGATTGCTTGAGCCCAGGAGTTCAAGACCAGCCCGGACAACATGACGAGACTCAGTTTCTACAAAAAAAAAAAAAAAAAAAAAAAAGAAAAGTAAAGAAAAAAAAATTAGCTGGGCATGGTGGCGCTCACTTGTGGTTTCAGCTACTCAGGAGGCTGAAGCAGGAGGATTGCTTGGGCACAGGAGGTTAGGGATACAGCAAGCCATGTTCAGGTCACTGTACTCCAGCCTGGGTGACAGAGTGAGACCTTGTCTCAATAAATAAATAAATAAATAAAAAAAATAGAAAACCCAGTAGAGGCCAAATGAAAGAAAGGTCTTTGGAGATGAAAAACCTTAGATTACTAGATATCTGAAGTCAGCACTTGTTCCATAAATAATAGATTTGGGAAGTACTCCGGATAATCTTAGAGCCAATTTTCTTCTGTGGAAGTGATAAGAATCCACAGGCTGAAGACAGAAAGAGTGTCAGGAACTGGTTTTGGGGTCTTGCACTCTGTAATCCAGTTAAACTGTGTGACAGAGGGTCAGTGCCTCCTCCAACTCAGATATTTTGGGCATACAAGGATGGGATCAAAGAGTGTGCTGTTTCTGGTCTACGGAATATTACAAATTTGAATGAAATAAAAATATTTCTGACAGTTTCTAAACTCTCTTTTCTTAGTACTCAATAGAATGGACTGTCATCCATGCTGGGTAAGGAAAGATCTTGACAAGGAAAGGAAGGAATCAGGGTTTCATGAGAGACAGGGTTCTAGGGATCCAAGCACCATGATGAGGTAATGGCTAAGTTTTCTCTTGGGTAATGCAAAGAAAAGTTGACCTTTACTGCTGTGAAGCAAATTAGAAGCTAACCCGGGGTGCATTCGTTTGGTTTCTTCCAGAAGCAGTCCCTGACACAGGGACATGAATGAAAGTAATTTATTTTGGAGGTGCATGAAACTTCAGTAGCAGCTGAGTAAAAGATTGGGAAGGGAAAACAGCCAACGAAGGGTGAATGACTGGAACTTAATCCCCTGGGGAAATTCTGGGAAAGCACTTGCCTCAGAGTTAACCCAGCCACGGAAGGAGGGAGTTGGGCAATTGTACATCAATTCCCATTGGTTGAAGGCTGCTGCCTGACACGTGAACTCTTCGGCCCTTCTAGTCTGCTGTGAGTCGGGCAGAGTGGCCCTTCTTGGCTTTGAGGAAGCCTTCAGGAATGATGCAAATGTCCAGCCAGTGTGCACTACAGTGGTAAGGCCCAAGGAACATGGCAGGTATTAGTAGCATCAGCCATACCAGGTCTATTTCTAGTTGGAGAACCCTTAGATGACTGGAGCCTGTGATCTCTTACATCTGTAATATCTGTGATCAGAATGGAAGAATTTTCTATTGTCTTTTCCTTTTCAATTTTGCCCAAGCCTTCATAAAGTCTTGTTAAAACTTTGACAACAGTCTTATTTTTACATTCCTTTAATCAAGAAGGACAGGCCTATGTCCAAATATAGGAGGATGTATTAGTTTGCTAGGGCTACCATAAGAAATACCACAGACTGAATGGCTTAAACAACATAAACTTATTGCCGCCTGGCTCTGGAGTCTAGAAATGTGAGATCAAGGTGTCAGCAGGGTTGGTTTCTTCCGAGGTCTCTGTCCTTGGCTGGCAGATGGTTGTCTTTTCCCTGCATCTTCCTATGGACTGCCCCCTGTGTATGTATGTCCTAATCTCTTTTTATATGGATACTAGCTATATTAGGACCTACTTTCATAACCTCATTTTCACTTAATTATCTTTTTAAAGACTCTAACTCCAAAAAAAATTCACGTTCTGAGGTACTGGGTTTATTCAACATTATGAACTTATAGGGGGACACAGTTCAGCCCAAAAAGAGGAAAATGGGGCAAAGGGAAAATCCTTCTTCTCCATCTTCTTTCCTGTTCTCTCTCAAAGGCCAAGGTGAGTGAGAGCAACATTGGATCATGGGATCTTGGTTGCCCTGCAACTCAAGAGATATTTGGCTTCAACGTTAGCAGTGAGCAACAGCAGAGCTGAGAACAGTGGTATAGAACTGAGTCACACTGAGTCAGGCTACATTTCCCAGGCTAATTTGCAAACCAGAATTCCAGATATAATTTTTATTCACTCAAACTTTCCACTCATGAACTTCTTAAATGTATTTTGAAAAACTATGCACATCCTCATACATGTTTTTTAAATTTAACTTTTTATTTTGAGGTAATTAGAGAGTGACATGCAGTTGTAAGAAATAATACAGACAGAACCTTTTACCCTTTAATCCAGTTTCCCTGATGGTAACATCTTATAACACTTCAGTACAGTATTGCAATCAGGATATTGACATTTGTGTCAATGTCAATATTACAGTCAAGACAGTATTTTTGTCACTCCAAGTATCCCTTATCTTGCCCTTTTATGGTCGGTTCACCTCCTTCCCACCCCCATCACTTCCTTAACCACTGGCAACTATGAATTTTTTCTCTATTTCTGTACTTTTGTCATTTCAAGCTTCTTAATACAAAATGTTATACAAATGGATTGTGCTTTTTTTTTCTTTTCAATAAAGTTTATTTTATTTATTTATTTATTTTTTTTGAGATAGAGTCTCACTCTGTCACCCAGGCTGGAGTGCAGTGGCACCATCTCAGCTCACTGCAACCTCCACCTCCAAGGTTCGAGTGATGTTCATGAGTCAGCCTCCCGAGTAGCTGGGATTACAAGCATGTGCCGTCTTGCTTAGCTAATTTTTGTATTTTTAGTAGAGACGGGTTTCACCATGTTGGCCAGCTGGTCTCGAACTCCTGACCTCAATGATCTGCCTGCCTCGGCCTCCCAAAGTGCTGGGATTACAGGCGTGAGCCACCACGCCCAGCCTGGATTATGCTTTTGATGTCAAGCCTACGAATTCTTTGCCTGGCCCTACATCTCAAAGATTTTCTCCTATTTTTCTAAAATTTTAATAGTTTTACACTTCACATTTACTCTGTAATCCATCTTTTTTGTTTCTTTATCTATTTTTAGAGATGGGGTCTTGCTCTGTTGCTCAGGCTGGAGTGAAGTGACGTGATCACAGCTCACTGCAGTATGTAACCTTTTGGGACTGGCATTTTTCACTCAGTATAACTCTCTGGAGATTCATCCAGGTTGTTGTGTGTATCAGTCATTCTTTTTTATTGCTGAGTATTATTTCATGGTATAAGTGTACAATAGTTGGTTTAACCATTTACCTGTTAAAGGATATCTGGGTTATCTTTGGCTACAATGAGTAGGCAGTTAGACAAACATTTGCATACAAGGTTTTGTGTGAAGGCATTGTCTGTGCTTGTGTATTTGTGTATGCAAGTTTTCATTTCTTGGGGCTAAATACCCAGGAGTACAGTTGCTGGGCAGGATGGTAGTAGTATGCTTAGTTGTTGGATTTTTGTTGTTGTTGTTGGTTTTGTTTTGTTTTTAAGAAACTGCCAAATCATCTTCCAGAGTGGCTGTACCATTTTATATTCCCATCAGAAATTATGAGAGATCCAGTATCTCTTCTTCCTTGCCAGCATTTAGCATTGTCGCCTTTTTTTTTTTTTTTGAGAAAGAGTTTCACTCTTGTTGCCCAGGCTAGGTACAATGGTGCGATCTCTGCTCACCGCAACCTCTGTCTCCCGGGTTCAAGTGATTCTCCTGCCTCAGTCTCCCGAGTAGCTGGGACTACAAGCATGTGCCACCACACCTGGCTACTTTTGTATTTTCAGTAGAGACAGGGTTTCTTCATGTTGGCCAGGCTGGTCTCAAACTCCCGACCTCAGGTCATCTGCCCACCTTGGCCTCACAAAGTGCTGGGATTACAGGTGTGAGCCACCGCACCCAGCCCATTGTCACTATTTTTATTTTAGCCATCCTGATAGGTGTGGAGCGATTATCTCATTGTGGTTTTAATTTGCATTTCCCTAATGGCTAATGATGTTGAACAACTTTTCATGTGCTAATTTGCCATTTTTATATCCTCCTTAGTGAAATATTACCTTAAGTCTTTTGCCTATTTTCTAATTGGATTTTTAATGTGTTTTCTTTGTTGAGTTTTGAGAGTTCTTTATATACTCTAGATACTAGTCCTTTGTTCAATGCATAGTTTGCAAATATTTTCTCCTACTGTGTAGCTCATTTTTTCATCCACTTACCAGATCTTCACAAAGCAACAGTTTTACATTTTGATGAAATCCAATTTATCAGTTTTTCCTTTCATAGATCATGCTCTCAATGTCAAGCCTAAGAATTCTTCGCCTAGACCTATATCTCAAATATTTTCTATTTTTCTAAAATTTAAGAGTTTTATGCTTTACATTTACTCCATAATCCATTTTGTTTATTTATTTTAATTAATTGTATCTGGTAAAGGTTAAGGTATTGCATTTCTCTGACATTTTTTTTTTTTTTTGAAACAGAGTCTTGCTCAGTCACCCAGGCTAGAGTACAGTGGTGTGTCACAGCTTATGACAGCCTCGAACTCCTGGGCTCAAGCAATCCTTCTGCCTCAGCATCCCAAGTAGCTGGGACTACAGGCAGGAGCCACCACACCAACATTATTTTTCATTTTTGTGTATAGACAGGGTCTTGCTATCTTACCCAGGCTGGTCTTGAACTCCTGGACTCAAGCAATCCAATCCAGTTGGAATTAAATTTTGCATAAGGCGTGAGACTTAGGTCAAGTTTCATTTTTATTTTATTATCTTGCCTATGGATGCCCAATTGTTCCATTTCACCATTGTTCAATTCACTATTTGTGAAAAAGGCTATTTTTCTTCCACTGACTTCCTTTTGCACCTCTTTCAAAAATCATTTGGGCAGATTGTGTGGGTCTTTTTCTACGTTCTCTATTTTGTTCCACTGATTTGTGTGTCCATTCCTCTGCTAGTAACACACAGTCTTGATTACTGTAGCTATAAAACAATACTTGAAATAGGGCAGACTGATTTTCAACTCACTTTATTCTTCTTTTTCAAGAATGTTTTAGGCGTCGGCGTCGCTCCCGCCCTGGAGCTCTAGGCCCGCTTTTCCCCGCTTGAGTCTGGCGTCGGGGTCATTGTGTCTTGACAACCGCTCCGGTACCCCTTTCCGAGGCAGCAGGTGCGGCCGCTTTAGCCTTGAGCGGGCTCCGCGTCTGCCTGCTGGTCTCTGCTAGTGCCGACCCTTCTGTTCGCGGACCCCACGCCAAGCAGCGACCCTGAGCCGACAGGCGGAGCACCCGGCAATGGCGGCCTCCACGGCCTCGCAACGGCCCCTCAAGGGGATCCTGAAGGACAACACCTCTACGACTTCCTCTATGGTGGCGTCGGCCGAACATCCCCGTGGGAGTGTCCACGAGCAGCTGAGCAAAAAATCCCAGAAGTGGGATGAAATGAACATCCTGGCGACATATCGTCCAGCAGACAAAGACTATGGTTTAATGAAAATAGATGAACCAAGCACTCCTTACCATAGTACGATGGGTGATGATGAAGATGCATGTAGTGATACAGAAACCACTGAAGCTATGGCAACAGATAGCTTGGCTAAGAACTTAGCTGCTGCTGAAGGCTTGGAGCCAAAGTATCAGGTTCAGGAACAAGAAAGCAGTGGAGAGGAGGATAGTGACCTCTCACCTGAAGAACGAGAAAAAAAGCGACAATTTGAAATGAGAAGGACGCTTCACTACAATGAAGGACTCAATATCAAACTAGCTAGACAATTAATTTCAAAAGACCTACACGATGATGACAAAGTTGAAGAAATGTTAGAGACTGCACATGGAGAAAGCATGAATACGGAAGAATCAAATCAAGGATCTACTGCAAGTGACCAACAGCAAAATAAATCACGAAGTTCATAGAAGGGATTTGTTCAACACTCTTATTGTTTGTTAGATATGAACCCCGTTGCTATAATACATTGCTTCTCGTTCTCCACAAGTCATGACTTAAGTACCAAAGTGCATACCAGTTATTATATATTGCCAAGAATTAAATGAAAACCTTAAAGACTGATTAGACTGAAAATGCCTAATTGATATATATATTCTTGTGCCTAGTACTTTACCACAAATACGGTGTAATATCATCAGTCCAAAACTGTATTACTTTTGTAAAAATACTGGTTAATTTGTATATTATATAGCTTTTCATGCTTTAGAGGTTAAACAATATCTTTGGGGGGGAACTAATTTATTTTCATCACTCTAAATGTGGTGATAGCTCTTATAAAGTTTGTTGACTTTTTTTTTTTTAACCAAAAGCCAGTTGAACAACAGGATATGTATGCTGATAAATATTCAGGCTGAATAGTATTTTAACACTTGTCTTCAACTTGATTTGTCTGTTTAATTGAAAAGGATTGTGACCTCGCGCGGTGGCTCACGCCTGTAATCCCAGCACTTTGGGAGGCCGAGGCAGGTGGATCACGAGGTCAGGAGATCGAGACCATCCTGACTACCACGGTGAAACCCCGTCTCTACTAAAAAAAATACAAAAAACTAGCCAGGCATGGTGGCGGGCGCCTGTAGTTCCAGCTACTCGGGAGGCTGAGGAGGGAGAATGGCGTGAACCCGGGAGGCGGAGCTTGCAGTGAGCCGAGATTGTGCCACTGCACTCCAGCCTGGGCGACAGAGCGAGACTCCGTCTCAAAAAAAAAAAAAAAAAAAAAAAAAAAAAAAAAAAAAAGAAAAGGATTGTAAGAGTTACTGTTACATTTTCTGGCCTACTACCTTTAAAATTCCTGTTGCATTTCTTTGTATTTACAAGGAAAAGACTGAACTTTTTCTCATCAAAACTAGCTTTTTTCTCACAGGTTAAACTTGCACCAATGTCTGCTCTTTTTTTTTAATGTTTTTGGTACTCTGGGCAGACTTCAGTTTTTTAAAAAATAAAGATTCTAATGCAGCTATCTTGGCATTCCCTTTAAATACCTGTCTTAACCTCCTACTTTTATTTCCTACTCCTTTCCACACACATGCATACAATCCTTTACCTTTTAAAGAATCATTAAGACTGTCACACATTAGGAACTCTTTCGCTCACTCTTCTGTCATTTGCTGCAATATTGAAATTCTTATTTTGACCATCAATGCCTATTAATTCTTCTAATACATGAAGAAAATGATTGAGTAGCAGCAGTACTATAGGTGGGAAATACAGTTTAACTGCTGAATTTTTATACCTCTCTGATTTATAGCTTGCTAATTAAATTGCTATTAATAGTTTGTTTGGCTTAATTAGACTTAAGAAAACAACAGGTTTTTTTTTTTTGAGGTTTTTTTTTTTTTTTTTGCATGAGGAGAGAATTGTATGTAACCAGTGATATGATTATTCCTGAATGTACAGACAGAAGTAAGCCTGGACATTGTTTAATTTAAAAACTTTAGTCCCTGCTTTAAGGGAATATGATAATGTATACTATGACAAATGTACTTTATTCTTCTAACACAGTAAGAATTACTTGGAACTTTTTCCTGAAACTAAGTGCAGGAAAGCCCTGTGTGTCTTGGTTTAGTGATGGTTTCATTTCTAGCCATACAACTGATGGATTGTATACAATTTTTGTTAGTGCCAAAATAATCTGTTATATGAACAGACTTCTAAAATAATTTCTGTATATTATATATGTAAGAAGGCTTTTATTGAACAGCTTATTTTCCACTTGCAAGTTTATGGAAATATCAATATGTCAAAATAAAAAGTGGGACAATTCTTTGCTGTTAGAAGAATGTGCTTATTATTTTGATTTCTTAAATGGTACATAATCAAAGTACTGCTGAACTATAGGTGCAGTATTCTACTAAACATTTCAGCTAGTAATACCACTGATTTAGAAACAAAACTGTTTATTTTTGCTTTCTGAATTTAGAATGCTGGGATTACCTGTTTAAATATGTTTTAGGGAATATAGAGATTAAATCTGTACATACCTGTGCACATATATTCATGCACCCTCTGATTTTGGTTTTCTCGTTTTTGAGTTCTTAGAAAGTATCCACATACTCTTCTTTTAGTAGAAGTAGCTGTTTTAGAGAGAAGAAAAGGATGAGACTTTAAATAGTTGATTCTTTTTGTGTTTTCTACAAACTTTTTTGAATTTTAAATCACAAGCAAACTAATTTTCTGGTTTTTAGAAAGTAGATGATGATTTCAGAGGAGTAAGACATGCCAAACAGCGTGCTCGGTAGGATTTTAGGTAGTCAAATGCAGCTGAGAAAAAGTATTTTCAAGTCATAAGTTGCTAATTGATATGCTATGAACTAGTCAAAATAGGAACCATATGATTCATGTTAGATTTTCCTCTAGAGATGGATCTGAATGTTCAGTTCCAGCCAAGGTAGATTTTACTTTCAACTTTTTAATCAATATCACTTTCTGTGCTTAATCTCTTTGGTGTTACCTTGTCCATTTTCATTTGTCTAAAATTCTGCAGGGATGACTACAATTTGGCATAATGGTATAAATGAATTGTTAAGGGTAACTTTAAGTTGAAGATTAAAGCAAGATGCCATTTTCCCCATGTCTTTCATTTTGTTTACATTTTTTCCCTTTAAGTTAGTATACACTACACATACTACAATAAAATATAATAATATGAAAAAAGAATATTTTAGATATTCTAGTCCCTTTGCCTTTCCATGTAAATTTTAGAGTAATCCTACCTATAATTAACAAATCTTGCAAAGATTTTGATTGGAATTGTGTTAAACTTGTATATTGGTTTGGGGAGAATTGACATATTTACTATATTGAATCTTCCAATCCATGAACAGTATTTCTCTCCACATAGATAGAGACTGAATAGATCTTCTTTGATATCGTTCACCAGCATTACATAGTTTTTAGCTTGCAAGTCTTGCATGTTTTGTTAGATTTACACATAAGTGTTTCATGTATTTGAGTAATTGTAAATAATATATTTATATTTTTGGGCCAGGCGCGGTGGCTCACGCCTGTAATCCCAGCACTTTGGGAGGCCAAGGTGGGCGGATCACAAGGTCAGGAGATCGAGACCATCCTGGCTAACACGGTGAAACCCCGTCTCTACTAAAAATACAAAAAATTAGCCGGGCATGGTGGTAGGCGTCTGTAGTCCCAGCTACTCCGGAGGCAGGAGAATGGCGTGAACCCCGGAGGCGGAGCTTGTGGTGAGCCGAGATCGTGCCACTGCACTCCAGCCTGGGCGACAGAGTGAGACTCCGTCTCAAAAAAAAAAAAAAAAAAAGAAAAAAAAAAAATATATATATATGTATCATTTGTTCATTGTGAGTATGTAGAAATACAATTGATACTGGTTTATCCTGTATTCTGTTAATTTGCTGAAATCACATATCTAGAAGTTTTTCTGTAGCTTCCTTGTGATTTTCTACATAGACAATCATGTCACTTACAAATGGGAGCTGTTTATTTCTTACTTCACAATCTGTATGCCTTTAATCTCCTTTTTCATGCCTATTGCACTGTCTAGAACTTCCAACACTGTGAATAAGAGTGGTGAGAGTGGACATTCTTGCCTTGTTCCTGATTTTAGGTAGAAACTATTCAGTCTTTCAGAATCAAGTATGTTCACCATAGGATTTTTGTAGACGATCTTTATCAAGTAAAGAAAGATCTCCTCTACTCCTATATTTCTGAGATTAAAAAAAAATAATGAATGGGTGTTAAAGTGGGTTAAATACTTTTTCTTCATCAATTGATATGAACAAGTAAATTTTCCTCTTCAGCCTATAATATGATGGATTACATTAATTAATTGTGAATATCCAACCAGCTTTGCATCCCTGGGATAACTCTCACGTGGTCATTGTATATAATTCTTTTTATATGTTGGTAAATTCCACTTGCTAATATTTTGTTAAAGATTGCTGCATCATGAGGAATATTAGTCTACAGTTTTCTTTTCTTCCCATTGTCATTGTTTGGTTTTGGTATTGAGGTAATTCTAGCTTTATAAAATAAACTGGGAAATGCTTCCTCTGCTTCTATTTTCTGGAAGAGATTAATTGGTGTTAATTCTTCTTTAAATCTTTGGTAGAATTCTTCATTGAAACTATTTGTTCCTAAATATTTCCTTTTGTGAGTTTTTAAATTATGAATTCAATTTCCTCAATAGGTGTAGACATTTTTGAATTATTTTATATTTAGTGAGTTGTGGCACTTTATATTTTTTGAGAAAATGATCCATTTAATTTAAGTGTCAAATTTATGTGTGTAGAATTGTTCATAGTATTCTTTTGTTATCCTTTTGATGTCTGTAGAATCTTTGATGATATCCCATTTCATTTCTGATGTTGGTAGCTTCTATCTTCTGTCGTCTTTTTTTCTGAGTCTTGCTAGTGGTTTGCCAATTTTATTAATCTTTCAAAGAGCCAGCTCTTTGCTTCATTGATTTTTTTTTGCTTTTGTTTTTCTGTTTTCAGTTTCATTGTTCTGCTTGCTTTTTATTTTGTTATTCTTTTACTAGATTCTTGAGGTGAGAGTTTAGATTATTGGTTTGAGACTTTTCCTCTTTTCCAATGTATGCAGTTAGTGCTTTAAATTTACTTCTCAAATGCAAATCAAAACCACAATGAAATGCCATCTCACGCCAGTCAGAATGGTGATTATTAAAACTCAAGAAACAACAGATGCTGACAAGGTTGTGGAGAAATAGAAATGCTTTTACATTGTTGATGGAATGTAAATTAGTTCAACCATTGTGGAAGACAGTGTGGCAATTCCTCAAAGATCTAGAACCAGAAATACCATTTGACCCAGCAATCCCATTACTGAGTATATACCCAAAGGAATACAAATCATTCTATTATAAAGATACATGCACTTGTATGTTCATTGCAGTACTATTCACAATAGCAAAGACATGGAATCAACCCAACTGCCCATCAATGACAGACTGGATAAGGAAAATGTACATATGCACCATGGAATACTATACAGCCATAAAAAGGAATGAGATCCTGTTATTTGCAGAGACATGGATGAAGCTGGAAGCCATTATCCTCATCAAACTAATGCAGGAACAGAAAACCAAACACCACATGTTCTCACTTATAAGTGGGAGCTGAACAATGAGAACACAAGGACACAGGGAGGGGAAAAACACACACTGGGGTCTGTCTGGGGCGAGGTTGGAGGGAGGGAGAGCATCAGGAAAAATAGCTAATGCATGCTTGTCTTAATACCTAGGTGATGGGTTGATATGTGCAGCAAACCACCATGGCACATGTTTACCTATGTAACAAACCTGCACATCCTGTACATGTATCCTGGAACTTAAATTTACCTCTTATAACTACTATAACTGTATCCCACAAATTCTGATATGGCATATTTTCATTTTTGTTTAGTTGTGTTTATTGTGTGTATTTTTAAAAAATTTCCTTGAGACTTCCTCCTTGACCCATGTATTTCTAAGTGTGTTGTTTTGTCTCCAAATGTTTAGATATTTTCCTGTTGTTGATTTCTGGTTTGGTTCCATTGTGGTAGGAGAACACTTTCTTTATGATTTTATTTAAAAAATTTGTTGGTCTTTTATTGTCTTAGATATGGTCTATCTTGGCATATATTCTGTGGGCACTTAAAAAAATGTTATTCTGGCTGGGTGCAGTGGCTCATGCCTGCAATCCCAGCACTTTGGGAGGCTGAGGTGGGTGGATCACCTGAGGTCAGGAGTTTGAGACCAGCCTGATCAACATGGTGAAACCTCATCTATACAAAAAATAAATAAATAAATAAATAAATAAATAAATAAATAAAAAATTAGCCAGGCATGGTGGTGTGTGCCTGTAATCTCAGCTACTCAGGAGGCTGAGGCAGGAGAATTGCTTGAACCTGGGAGGCAGAGGTTGCAATGAGCCGAGATTGTGCCATTGTACTCCAGTGTGGGCAATAAGAGTGAAACTCCATCTCAAAAAAAAAAAAAAAAAAAGTGTATTCTGCCATGGAATACTATGCAGCCATAAAAATAATGAGATCACGTCTTTTGCAGGGACATGGATGGAGCTGGAGGCCATTATCCTTAGCAAACTATTGCAGGTACAGAAAACCAAATACTGCATGTTCTCATAAGTGGGGGCTAAATGATGGACACATGGACACAAAGAGGAAAAACACATACTGGGGCCTATTGGAGGGTGGAGGTTGGGAGGAGGCAGAGGGTCAGGAAAAATAACTAATGGGTACTAGACTTAATTCCTGGATGATGAAATAATCTGTACAACAAACCTCCATGACACTGTTTACCTATGTAACAGACCTGCACATGTACCCCTGAACTTAAAATAAAAGGAAAAAAAAGAAAAAAGAAAAAGGAAAATCTCGTGGAATCTACTAAAAGCAACGAAAAAGAAAATAATGTATCTTCTGTTGTTGGGTGGTGTGTTCTATAAATGTTGATTAGATCTTATGGTTTGATGTTGTTTATTCTTCTATGTTTTTTCTCAATTTTTGTCTATTTGTTTAATCAATTGTTGAGAGAAAACTATTGAAGTCTTCAACTATCATTGTTGACTTGCCTATTTTCTTTTCAGTTCTATCAGTTTTTGCTTTACATAATTTGCAGCCCTGTTGTTTGGTGCATACATATTTAAGATTGCTATGTCTTTTTGGTAGATTTACCCTTTTATTATTACATAGTGTTCCTATCCATTTCTAGTAATTTTCTTTGTTCTAAGTTTATTTGATATTAATATAGCCTCCCTTTATTATTTTTTGTCTGATATATGTTTTTCTATCCTTTAACTTATAAACCGCCTATATCATTATATTTGAAGTGAGTTTATCATAAACAGCAAATAATTGAGTCTTTTTTTTTTTTTTTTTGAGACGGAGTCTCGCTCTGTTGCCCAGGCTGGAGTGCAGCGGTGTGAAGTGGTGTGATCTCAGCTCACTGCAACCTCCACCTCCCGGGTTCAAGAGATTCTCCTGCTTCAGCCTCCCGAGTAGCTGGGGCTACAGGCTTGTGCCACCACAGCTGGCTAATTTTTGTACCTTTAGTAAAGATGGAGTTTCACCATGTTAGCCAGGATGGTCATCTCCTGACCTTGTGATCCACCTGCCTTGGCCTCCCAAAGTGTTGGGATTACAGGCGTGAGCCACCGCACCTGACAGAGTCATATTTTTAAATCTATTCTGCCAAGCTCTGTCTCTTAAAATTGATGTATTTAGGCGATTTATATTTCCTATAATATTGTTATGTCCAGGCTTAAGTCTGACATTTTATTTTCTGTTTTCTGTTTGTTCTCTCTGTTTTTCATTTCTTTGTTTTCTTTTTCATTGCTTCCTAAATAATTTTAAAATTCCATTTTAATTTATCTATAGCTGTGTGTGTGTATGTGTGTGTACCTCTTTGGATAGCTCTTTTAGTGGTTGTTCTAGGTATTACATTATATTTATGTAACTTATTTATTGTCATTAATTACCAGTCTGAGTGATGTGTAGAAATTTCTTCTCTCTTTGTTTACCCTCCCTCATTTATAATTGCCTGTAATATTTTCTCTATATACATTTATAACCATATGATACAGTATTATACGTTTTTCTTCAATCCTATAATTTAAATAACTCAAGAGAAGAAGTAAAGTCCATTTTTTAACCCATATTTTTTCTTGCCATGTTCTTTCTTCCTTCCTGATGTTCCAACTGTCCTCAATTTAACTTTTTGTTTTTTTAGGGTAGACCTGTTAGTGACAAATTCTGTTAGTTTTCCCTCATCTCTGTATGTCTTAATTTCCCTGGATATTTTTGCTGATATAGTGTTCTAAGTTGATATTTTTTTTTCCTTTCAGCACTGGAAAAAGGTGGTGACCTCCTTCGGGCTTACACAGTTTCTGATGAAAATTTTGCTCTGTCATTTTTTTCACCTGTTAGATGTCATTTATCTCACTGCTTTCAAGATTCTTTTTATCTTTAATTTTTAGTTAATTACTATGATTTTGGTGTGGCTTTCTTTGGGTTTGTCCTATTTGGGGTTCACTCACCTTCTTAAATCACTAGGTTTATGTCTTCTGCCAAATTTGGGAAGTTTTCAACCATATTTATTTGATAATTTTTTTCAGCTTCACTCTCTTTTTCCTCTCATTTTGGGACTCTGAGTACATGAACATTAAATCTTTTGTTATAGCCCCATGGGTCCCTGAGGCTTTGTCCATTTTTTCCAGTGTATTTTCTTTCTTTCTTTTGTTCAGATTAAGTGATTGCTATTGCTGTGTCTTCAAGGTAGCTAATTCTTTCCTCTGTTCTCTCCTTCTGCTGCTGAGCTTATTTACTGGGCTTTTTATTTTGGCTATTGCACTTTTCAGTTCTAAAATTTCCACGTTTTCTTCCGTATATATCCTATTTTTATGCTGAAACATCCTATTTTTTTCTTTTCTGCTCTTTTCTTCTTCTTTCTTTTTTTAAACCACTGAACTGGACATCCTATTTTTTTCATTCTTTTAAGTGTTAATTGCTCATCAAAGCATTTTAATAATGGTGGCTTTAAAATCTTCATCAGGCTTTTCTTTCCGTTTTGGCATCTATTTTATTGTCTTTTAAAAATTCAATTTGAGATATTCCTGGTTCCTGATATGACAAATAATTTCCAATTGAAACTTGGACATTTCAGGCATTATGTTATAAGGCTATTGGTCTTATTTAAACTGTTTTAGCTGGCTTCTTTTAACACCTCTCCAGCAGGTAGGCAGGTGAGCTTCATGACGCCAGGTAGGGGTAGGAGTCCAGGCTTCTCACTCTGCCTTCATTGACACCTCAGATAGGTCCCCATTATTACTGAGTGGGGACAGAAATTCTGGCTCCCTATTAGGTGCCCACTAATACCTCCCTGGTTGGTTGGGAGAGGAGTGCCACTTACTATCCCTCACATGACCTTTATTGACACCAAGATGGGACAGTGGAGTGGAGGAGTGAGTGGTAGGTATCAGGGAGTGGTTGCTGGATTAACTCTGGGTGGTGATGAAAATCCTGACTCTCCATTAGGCATTGTCTGACATCACCCTAGAGGAGAGGGGAAGAGATGCTTCATTACTGTTGGGTGAGGAATGGAAGTCTAGGTTTCCATTGACATTTCAGGGGCTTGGGGAAAGGAGTACATTTTCACCAAGAGGGCATGACCATCCTGACTCCCTATTCACTTTCTCTGACACCATCCTGGTGTGTGTGCATGTGTGTGTTGAAGTGTTGGGTTCCTTATGACAGCCTGGTGAGGGTGAAAGTCTAGGCTCCTCATTTGACCTTAGCTGGTGGGGGTGGAGTCGCAGTTTTTTCTGTGGTGTTTGGCTGGCCCCATTACCCAAGATGGAGTGTAGTGGTGCGATCATAGCTCACTGTAACCTCGAACTCCTGGGCTCAAGTGATCCTCCTGCCTCAGCCTTCAGAGTATCTAGGACTATGACACATCGAACTATGCCTGACTAATTTTATTATTATTATTCATAGAGACAGGGTCTCATTATGTTGCCCAGGGCTGGTCTTGAACTCCTGGCCTCAAGCGATCCTCCTGCCTGGCCTCCTTCCCAAAATTACTTTAAATGATATAATAGCTGACAGCTTGAATAGGTCCTCTTTATTTTGTTGGAGGCAGAGTGTTAGAAGTGACCTAACAAAAAGGATTTGTTTCTTGTCACTAGACTCATTCACTGTGTCAATGAGTGTGTCAGTGGTTTGTGGGAAGCAAACTTAAATGAAAATGTATATTTTTAATTAAATGTTATGAGATGCTTTTTTTAAACTATTGGCTCTTGTGAATTTCAGAAAAATATTGCAAGTCATTTGACTTAGCTACTTAGCTTGCACTCTATGTAAAAATTTTAGAATTTTACCTCTTTGAAAAACTCCTAATATCAATAGTGATATTGTTGTTTTGCAGCCTCAAATGATTTTGTTACTTTGGACTAATTTTCACTGAGCTAGTTAATAAGTGACTTTTTATTGTCTAAAAAATTCTTAAGTGTATCATAGAGAGAAAGATTATTGGGTCACTAAGTGGCTTTCTATATATATACCTTTGTCCATATTTAATTTTTGCAAAACTCAAATTAAGGTGGTAAACTTAGTGTGGATATACATTCATGTATTGTATTGATAAGATTAACTACGTTTTAAAACTAAAGTGGAAAGTTTTAAACAAAATTGTCATTCAACTATATATGTATTTCTGTAAAACACACACGTAATGATGAATTCGAATTAATAAGCAAAAAAGGAGAGGATTTGTAATTTAAAATTGATCTTGGAATATACACTCTACACTTAAGACAGAGAAAAAACTTTTTCTTTCCCTTTAGCATAATCTGCCCAGCTAGCGGTGGTTTCTTATCAGAATGCTCTCACTTAATACCTTGATAACTTTTAGTGCTTTGTGCTGATAGCATCAAGTTTTTAAATTATTTTAAAAACAAACAACAACAAAAAACCATTTGCTTCTGAAACACCTAAAGTTTCTTATAATTGTTACCTTCTTTATGTTTATTTTCAAATGTTTTATTGTCACTCTGGTTATTGAGATATCAAAGTTATAACAATTGCTCACTCTCAGGTACCTATGCACTTAAGTGACCAGTTTCTCTGAAAATTCTTTTTTGTTGTTGCCTTCTTCCAACCTCATACCCTGAATTCAGAATACTAACACTGTCAAGCTATTTTTCACGCCCCCAAATCTTTGTTTTTTCTCACTAGACAGCCACTACCCATTTGGCCACTAGGTGGCGCAAAAGGCTTAATTTTTCACCTTCCTCCGCCTACTGTGAAGGAAGCTAAAAGTAATTAGATGTGTTTGGCATGATTTTTATATTTTAAATTAACGCTGTACTATCAAAAGAACTACCTGTGTCTCAAACCCACAATGTGGTAAAAGCTGACAAATAAAAAACAGTAGCTCAATTTTCTAGATTAATTTTGTCCAGGTTAAAAATATTATTGATATATGTTTTAGTGACCACATAGGTTTCAGTAAGGGTAAAAGGATGCTCTTGTTCGTACTCCAAGTCTGGCATGGTGACTGTCAATACATTCATTTTGAAGAAGATTTTGCTTCTGGGTTTAGCCCTAAAACAGGCCAAATAGAGACGATAAAATGAGTGGAACTGAATTAGAGCATTTCTGAAAAGTTTTATTTGGTTAATTCTGCCCCTTAAGGTCAGAAATTGTGTAGGAAAAGTGTTTCAAAATTATAAATAAGGCAAAATTGTACGTGCTTGATTATTTTATATCACACTTGAACCTTTGCTCATAATTCTGCCTGATCAAAACCAGAGTGTTTCAGGGATTGTAATTTGCCTAAGACGAACCCGGCCAGCCCTGTGCGATTAGAGGTTAATCAGCAGAGAGCTGATAAGGGATGCTGGCTTTCTCTTTTTCTCCGGTAAAGAAGATAACACCAAGGTTATGATTTTATTGCCCTCTAGCACGTTAGCCATTTTGAATCTCTAGCCTAGAAATTATTTCCTCACAGAGAGATACAGCTCTGTTTTTCAAATACTCTTTGGATCAAGGCTCTTGTATTCTTGCTGGTTCCCTCTTTGAGTTTGATAAAACTTTGAAAAGTCTACCAAAGAAATTTCTCTCAGAACTAGACTTTAGAGAGGAAATGCTGGAACTACGGATGAGAGGCACATGTATGTACAGGGTCAGACCACGCAGAGAGCAGGTCTGATGAGCCACACCACTGCTGCTGCCCCATGGCTTCTAGACGCTGCTGTTGGTTCTGTTGTTAGGACCTGGAGGTTGCTGCAGCCACCACTGAAGACACCTCCTAAACCACTTCTGTTTCAGGAACTTCACTTAAAAAAAAAAAAAAAAAAGGAAAAAACCCACCGCTTCCCCAAAAGACAGTTGCTTCTTCTGTCACCTTTGCCAGAGAAATAAATACAGTAAAAGGTGCTCTGCAACCCCCACACCCTGGTTCCTCCTGTGGCCCCTTTGTAACTGAAGTCTTAGGTGGATGAATTTAATTGGTGGAACTTAGGTGCTCTAGCTTCAAAGAAGGCTAGGGGAAGTGAGCTTTCTGGTTTCCACTTTAGGGAGGCAGGACTCAAAAGGTAGGGGAAATTTCACAGTACTCTAAAGGTGTTCAAATCCCATGGGCAGCCAGTAAACATCACAGGTGTGAGGTGCTGGGTGGAGTAGCTGCCGTGAATATGTGTTTTGGTTCATGGACTACATCAGTGGCTCTTAAAGTCCAGTAATTCACAGATTCATGAGAGATAATAAAATGATTATTTTTGTTTTAAGCCATTAAGTTTGGAGTTGGTGTGCTGCCCAGCAATAGATAATGGAAACATACAGTATGTATTTCTGCAAGTCTGGCTTCTTCACTTAATATTGTTTCTATGAGATTCGTCCATGTTGTTACATTTTCAGTAGTTGATGAAGTTTCATTGTTTACATAGTACTGTGTTGCACGAATAGACTACGTTTTGTTTATCCATTTACTGTTGAAGAACCATTTTGTTAAACAATTTGAGAGTAATCTGTGGAAATTATGCCACTTGACCCCTAAATATTTTGTCATGTATAATTTAAGAATAAGGACATTTCTCCTGCAAAACCCTAATACTGTCATCACCCCCAAGATACTTAAAATTGATACCATATTATCAAACACACAATCCATATTAAAAAATCCCCTATTGTCCCAGTAACACCTTATAGTAAATGTCTGTTATTTTAAGCGGGTGTCATTCATTACATGGCAATAGGTAACTAATACGGTGAGTCTGCTTCTTCCAGCAAGGACCCTCAGGGGGTGCGGTGATTCATAGTTCTCACTCAGACTTCTCTGTGTCTGCTCATATGTCCCTATTTCATATCTCAGGGTCCGGTCTATCCCAACCAGGGGTCTTGCCTTATCACAACAGCTGCTGTTGGATGATGCAACAAACATTTCTACAACTTCATAACCTTTATCATAAGCCCCCGGGCTTGACCCTCAGCCATATCTGTGCTGGGTTGCAGGAGAAAAGATAGCCTTTAAAACTGCTATAGAGGCATTTACAGTTTTTCATTCATGTCTTGAGTTTGGATTAAAGGCTTTTAATTTGTCTTTTTTTCCTTTGTATGCTCTTGAGGGCAGTCTGACGCAGCCAGTCTCTGAAGGTTGGCACAAAAGCCTCCATCGAGTCACCCAGCTTTTGCCTGGTACCTATCCTAACCTAAAACCTTGCCACATGTTACCTTGGCGAAAGGCCAGTGCCACACTTCAGTGATGATTCGGCTGTCCTACTTGGTTAGAACCGAGTTCACTTCCTTCCTCAACACTCCTGCCACATTGATCTGGAAGTTTCACCTTGAGCCAAGTGATAGTTAATTTTATGTGTTAACTTGGCTAGGCTATGGTTTCTAGACATTTGAATACCAGTCTAGATATTGCAGTGAAGGTATTTTTTAGATGAGATTTACATTTAAATCAATAGATTTTGGGTAAAGCAGATTACCCTCCATAATGTAAGTGGCCCTTCCAATCAGTTGAAGGTCTTAGGGGCAAAGACTGAGGTCCTCCAAGGAAGAGGGAATTCTGCCTCTGGACCACCTTCAGACTCAAGCCGCAACATCAGCTCTTCCTGGGTCTCCAGCCTACCTGCAGATTTCGACCGTGCCAGCTCCCACAGTAGTATGAGCCAATTACTTAAAATAAATCTCTCTCTGCCAACATCCTATTGGTTCTGCTTCTCTGGAGAATCCCGACTCATACAAGCCACTTTCTATAGAAGGCTGTTTCTTCGAGAAATCCACCCTCTTCTATGTCAACAGAGTTTAGAATCTCCATACTTTATCTCTTCATTTTTGAGAACATAAATTCTGTATTACACATACTTATACTATACTATATATGAAACTTTCATAAACATTGCTGGGCAAAGTTGAATATTGCTGAACCAATTTCCGATGCTTCTGAATAAGTTCAATGGAGTTAAAACATTTTTCTTCTTACATGGTATGTCCAGTGCCCCAGAGCCAGCAGAGTTAAGAACTTGGTAAGGAAGACCAAAGATAATCCATATATTCTAGTTTGTTATATAATATAAAACATGTTTATTAGATTCTAAAAGACATAAAAAGAAAATAATACATATGTATCAGTGAGAGAGGTGCAAATTAGGAAGAGAACTAAGGATTATTCTTAATTCCTGCCTTCCTTTCTAAATCCCAATCCTCAATTGAACTCTTTAATTATATTTCCTGTTTATTTTATTGAATGGAAAAAATGGAAAATTATCTAACATTTGTCATGGAAATATAGGAGAAATTACTCTCAGAGATATGATGTTATTTAAGTCATTGACATATTGTTAACCTCAGATGCAAATGGTGGAATTAATAATATTCCTCAGTTCATGGTACATAGTCACTGTTGGTCTAGTGCTAGTTTGTAGTTGTATTTGTATTTTTTATTTTTTAGAAATACGGTCTTCCTTTGTCACCCAGGCTGGAGTGCAGTGGTGTGATCACAGCTCACAGTAAGCTCAAACTCCTGGGCTCAAGCAATCTTCCTGCCTTGGCCTCCCAAGTAGGTAGGACTACAGGTGCATGCCACCATGCCAGCTAATTAAAATGTTTTAAATTTATTTTTGGTAAATGGGGTCTTGTTATGTTGCCCATAGGCTTTAGTGCTATGATAAGCTAGTAATTATAGTGAACATTCTTGTCTTGGATACCCAAGGTTTTTCCGTTATGTATACTAGTGGTTACAGATTTTTTGGATTATAACCTTTGCCAAAATAGGAAAGTTTTGATTCCTGCTTCCTTAACTGTTTTTCAAAAATCACAAATGGATATACTTTACCAAATGTCTTTTATTAATAGACTGAGCAAAGGAAATGACTTTTCTATGAATATGGTAAATTATAGCAACAATATGTTTTATTATATTGAACCACCCTAGTATTCCAAGGATTCCCTATTTGATCTTGATGTATCATTATTAGCATAATCATTATTATTATTGTTATTATTATACATATTTTTAGAGACAGGGCCTTGCTCTGTTGCACAGGCCGAAATGCAGTGGTGCAATCATAGCTTACTGCAGCCTCAAACTCCTGGGCTCAAATGATCTTCCTGCCTCAGCCTCCCTAGTAGCTGAGACTACAGGTGCTCACCATCACACCTGGCTAATTTTTTAATTTTTTGTAGAGACAGGATCTCACAGGATCTCAGTATGTTGACAATGCTGGTCTTGAACTCCTGGCCTCAGGCGATCCTCCCACCTCGGCCTCCCAGTATTATTATTTGTAATATTGTTGAATTCGGTTCATAAATAATTATTTTTTTCTCCCATCTGTGTTCAAGGTGAAATGGGTCTATTATTTTTTTTTCCTTGAGTTTTCCACAACTCAATTTGGAGTCAAGATTACACTCGGCTGATAAAATTAGCTAATCAGGTTTAGTTTTTTTCTGTTTTCTGGAAAAAGTATATAATATAGAAGTTTCATGTTCCTTGAATGTTTGATAGAACTCATCTGTGAAACCATCTGGGCATTTTCAAAAATATATTTTTTTATTAGATGCCATTGATAACTTTAAAAATTGCTTTAATACTCATTGGTATAGTCAAGTTTTGTATTTCTTTTTGTGCTAATTTTGATAGATTAAATGTTTCTAGGAATTTGCTTATCTCACCTAGGTTTTCAAATTTATTAGCATATACTTGTTCATAACACTCTATGCTTTATATCTGTGTCATATCTGTAGCTGTTCCCCCTTTTTCATTATGTATTTGTTTATTCATTTTTTCTCCCTTTATCCATAATCGGCCTTGTTGTAACTCTGAATATCTTACAAATATTTTTAAGTAAGCAGCTTTTGGAATCAAAAGTATGTTAATTTTCACTACCTAGTTTTTTGTTCTCTATTTCTGTTTCATTGCTTTCTATTCTTATCTTTATAACTCCTTTTCTTCGTATTTCTTTAGGTTTGCTCAACTTCTCTTTTTCCAAATTTTTGAGTAGAATTTCTAGGTCCTTTATTTTAACTTTTCTTGTTCTAATAAATGTATTTGAAATTATAATATTATTTTATATGTATATTTTATGTGTAACATTTTTAACACCTGGTTCTAAAAGAGTTAATTTTCTTTATAACTGCTGTTTATTTATTTGACACAGGGTCCCACTCTATTGCTGAGGCTGGAGTGCAGTGACGCAATCATGCCTCACTGCAGCCTCCATCTTCTGGACTCCAGCGATGCTCCCATCCACGACTGCCTTTTAAATCCATGTTACTGATAAATATATTTGTTCACTTACAATTTTAAGTATATTTTAGTTATCAAGTTCTAATTTTATTACAGCATGGTTGCAGAATATAGTTTCTTTCTTTCTTTTTCTTTTTTTTTTTTTTTTTTTTAAGACAGTGTCTTACTCTGTTGCCCAGGCTGGAGGGCAGTGGCACAATCTCAGCTCACTGCAACCTCTGCCTCCTGGGTTCAAGCGATCCTCCCGTCTAGCCTTCTGACTAGTTGGGATTACAGGTGCACCCCATCCAGCTAAATTTTTTGTAGAGACGGGGTTTTGCCATGTTGCCCAGGCTGGTCTCAAACTCCTGGGCTCTAGGGATCTGCCCACCTTGACCTCCCAAAATGTTGGGATTACAGGCATGAGCCACTGCTCCTGGCCTAGAATATAGATAGTTTCTAAGATACCGATACTCTGGAATTTATTGGCGTTACCTTTATGGAATGATGCATGTCCTATTTGAGTAAATGTTCTGTGTGGCTTGAACTATTATATATAATTTTTGGTTTTCTGGCAACTTTTAAAAAATGAATTTTATGAATCTTGTACCTCATTTTATTTCCTTCTTTGCTTTCACTATCCTATGGCCTGGAGCCAATTATTTTTTATCCATTTATAGTTGGCTGATAAATATGTGTCCTGTTAAACCGGCTCTCTGAAGAAAAACAATGCTTCTGACTTGTAGCATTGCTGATTTCTATAGTATAAATACTTCCATAGTGGTCAATATCAAGTTACCAATAGTTAACAACTGTCTTCAAAAATCCTGAATACTTTGCAATCTGCTCTTGCTAGCCAGTATAAGACAGCGCACCACTTTTTTTTTTTTTTAAGATATTCACGTTGTCCATTAGTTTCCATTAGTTTCACTCCTTGGCTTCACTTACTTTTCTTAACCATATTTTCTCTCTGACCCAGTGTTGTTTTCTTCTTTTAAAAATTGTTTTAAATTATCTCTGTAAGCTGCTACAAACCTTTTATTGGAATGAAGGGCATTAGAACAGTTATTTGGCCAATACAGAAAAATGAAGTCTTCTAATTTTTTTTTTTTTTTTTTTTTTGAGATGGAATTTCTCTCTTGTCGTCCAGGTGGAGTGCAATGGCGCAATCTTGGCTCACTGCCACCTTTGCCTCCCGGGTTCAAGCGATTCTCCCTGCCTCAGCCTCCCGAGTAGCTGGGATTACAGGCACCATGCCCAGCTAATTTTTGTATTTTAAGTAGAGATGAGGTTTCACCATGTTGGCCAGACTGGTCACGAACTCCTGACCTCAGGTGAACCACCCGCCTTGGCCTCCCAAAGTGCTGGAATTACAGGCACGAGCCACCGCGCCTGGCCGAAGTCTTCCAATTTTAAAAGATCTAATCTTCATTCAGTTCTCAAAGTCTTTGCTGTGCCCTTAAGGCATGTCACACGCATGTGCAGCTCAGGGGTAACCTGGTACTCCTGAGGGTTCAGACTCAGAATTAGGGAATTTCCGCCTGTACTCTCAGTTTGGAGATTCCCCTACACATTCCTGCCCGCAGGGGCCCTTTTTCTTCATTCCTCTGGCCAGAAAGCCGGTATTTCTCTTGTTAACTCAGGGCTTGTGCTACCACGCAGTGCAGCTCTGCACCTGAGGCCTGACGTCAGGGCAGAGCTGGGAGGAAAAAAGGGGAAAACATTGAAAACCCACTCCCCAGGAGGGGCCCCTCTCCCAGTTTTGACCCTCTTCACAATCCACCTGCTTTTGTTTACTTTTTGGAGTCCTTGAGTACTTGCTTTTTGTATACTGCCCAGAATTTCTACTTGTGATCAGTGGGAAAAATGGGCTATTTAAAATCTCAAATAAGTTAAATATCATGGCTAGAAACAACTCCAGGCATTTGTAATTTTAGATTTTTTTCTTTACACTCCAGGGGGATGTGATTGTTTTAGAGTTTTGAATTCGTATGTTTAGCCTGAGATCCTACTAGTATTTCTGTTGAATATGCCTGTTGACTGCCCACTTGTTAGCAAAATGGCATTGAATGTTGGAACTGTAAACTACCTTAGAAATCATTCAGCACCATCTTTTGACAGAAAAGGATATGAGAGTTCACTCCTGTCACTCAGGAAGTGCAAGGCAAAGATAGAAGCAGAATTAAATTTGTTTTAATACAGTTACTCAGCCATCTGGTAACAGTTTCCTAAGTGCCAACGAATGTATGGGGCTATTTATTGCAGATTTTAAGATGATATATGGGGATTGAGGGAATGAGAAGTTTTAGGGAGTGGTAGAGGAAGGGCATATAATAAGACTGAATCCCAGATCCCAGCCTCAGAACTTATTTTGTGACCTTGGTCAAGTGATTTAATCTTTCCAAACCTCTATGTGTCCTATAGAAGTAATAATAATACCTATATAGGGTTGGGTGTTTTTTTTGTTTGTTTTTTCTTTTTCTTTTCTTTTTTTTTTCTTAAGATAGGGTCTTTCTCTGTCACCCACGCTAGAGTGCAGTGGCGCAATCACAGCTCACTGTAGCCTCAAACTCCCAGGCCTAAGCGATCCTCCCACTCAGCCTCCCAGGCAGCTGGGACTACAGGCATGCACCACCGCACCCGACTAATTTTTAAATTTTTTTGTAGAGATGGGGTTCTCACTATGTTGCCCAGGCTGGTCACTAACTCCTGGGCTCAAGCAATCCTCCCGCCTTGACCTCCCAAAGTGCTGGGATTACAGGTGTGAATACAGGGGGTTTTTTGGTTTGAATTTTAAGAGATAAAATTTATAAAACATTTAGCCAATGCCACAAATGTAGCTTCTTTTGGTTATTGTCATTATTCTTTGAAATTCACAAGTGCCCCAAAATATTTAAGCATTTTTCATGTATTGCCCTTTAATATGAATGAATGCATTATGAAAGGAATTCTTTTACATGCGAGTTTGCTGATAGTCTTAGCTAATTCTCATGTGTGTAGGTGTCTTGCCTATCTGTCAGTCTTAGCCTTAAAGGAAAGAGTCCCATCACCTCACTTGCGGCCTCATCATCATGGACCGCATGATGATGCGGAATGAGAATTTTTATTGTTTGTACTACTTCAAAATCATTCAGTACGTGATCACCTGTCATGTATAGGGCTCTTTATATTTCTAGTTTAGTCCCTTTTGTTTTCTCTAGGAAAGATGTTTTAGACCTGGGACAAAAGAAGAAAGAGTGTATGCTGACATCTAGGAGGGAAGCACCCACCTCCCCTAAGCTCCATCTCCCTGAGCACTCATTTCCCAATGACCATACCATAGGTTTTGGCCCTAGAGAGTTTATTACAAAATAAGAAAGAGAAGTCTGGGGAAGGTTCACTCATCATAGAATTTTGGCAGTTCATTGCCCAAGATGACTCGATGGTCCACACCGGCAGCTGTAATAGTGACCAGGTAGATGACACCCCCGCTTGAGCCATCCCGGCTCATGGCCAGAGCAATAGCTGCAGAGGGTTTCAAGTTGGAGAGAGGGAGAGAGAGGATGGCTTAGCTTCAAAAATCTTTTTACTCCCCCTCCATCCATATGCCTACTACCACTTTCACCTCAAAACTCATCTTCCAGGAAGGCATATTTAGTGGTGTGCTGGTAAATCAGTTTTTTTACAAAAAGGCTTCCATATGTGGCATCTGCTGATGTCCGTGGTGTAAATGCTCCCGCTATGATGAATTGCAAGTTACAAATAGCTAAGCAGTTCACAAATCCTTGACTATTTAACAGTCCGCTCTCATGAGTGGTCCCAAGCCAGCCTCAGCACACCTCAGCACACCACTGGTTCTTTTTTTTTTTTTTTTTCTCCAGACAGGGTCTCTCTCTGTCACCTAGGCTGCAGCGCAGTGGTGCAATCACCGCTCACTACAGCCTTGATCTCCCCGGCTCAGATGATCTTTCCACCTCAGCCTCCTGAGTAGCTGGGACTACAGGTGTGCACCACTATGCCCAGTTCATTTTTTTTTTTACTTTTTTTTATTGTTTTTTGTGGAGACAGGGTTTCACCATCTTGCCTAGGCTGGCCTCAAACTCCTGGGCTCAAGTAATCCTCCTGCCTCAGCCTCCCAAATTGTTGGCATTACAGGTGTGAGCCACTGTGCTTAGCACACCACTGGTTCTCACAGTGACTGTGTATCCTCATTTGATTTACTCAGAACAGCCCTGGTTTATCCGTATTGCCCAAGAACCCCATTGAGCTTTGCATTTGTCCTGCCCCTTTTCACTCTTAAAAGTGTACCAGGCCCGGCATTAACTTAAATGGCCACCCCTGTATTTCTCTTCCTGTTCCTCATAATCTACTTCCTTCCCATGTTTCAAAGCCCTCCCCAGGTACCCTTCCACTTGGCTGGTTACCGTCTGTGGTGAAGCGCCTGCACTCCTCGGGAGACATGCCTGGCTTATATGCTGCATCCACATAACCATAGATAAAGGTGCTGCCGGAGCCACCAATGGCAAAAGGCTGTCGAGTCAGCATTCCTCCCAGGGTTCCATATACCTGGGAAAGGGATCCTCAGGTTAAAGAATCATCAAGCCCTTCCTTCCCACTGAGACATTAAGTGGTCTCTGCACCCTGCAATGAAGCCCTGGTATCTCATATCCCCAAAGTACTATGCTTTCAGAGGTAGTGTCCTTGGAACTCATTGCTAGAATGACATAGGACTTCCATCTTCCTCTGCAGGAGAGTGGGGAAGCCCAGAGGAGAGAGTGCTTTGGGAGAAACTCACCTGACCTCCTTCACGTTGGTCCCAGCCAGCTACCATGAGATGTGCAGACAAGTCCTCTCGATATTTATAGCTGATATTTCTCACCACATTTGCAGCAGCCAAAACAAGTGGAGGTTCCTCCAGTTCTATCCTGAGGGAAATATTAGGAATAAAGGTTGATAGAATTTTAAGTCTCATTCTCCTATACTGTTACCATCATCCCTGCTAAACGACCCCTGAAAACTGTAACTGCAATAGCTCAAACTGCAGCCTCCCTCCCACATGTACAGGGGAACCAGAGTCCCACACCACCAACTGGTAAGAAGCTTTCAATTGCTCACTCTTTTGCTCAGCCCCACCCACATAACTTTCTTTTGGCTGCAAGGACCCTGCTCTTATGGGGAAAAGCAGATAAGGTTACTTCCGTCCCAACGACCTTGATTTCTCGTATGGTAACTGCCTGATATTATGGTGGGTCACAATATCACCTTCTTCCTGATTATTTATATCAGGATAGTGATTTACAGCTTTTAAACTGTGTTCACATATAGAATGTGGTTCTCAAAATAACCGTCTCATGAGGTACTATATTATCTCCACTTTACAGATGCAGAAACTGACAGATTCAAGTGCCAGCAAGAGCCGAAACAAGACTTTTCCATTTCCCAGTGTCCAGCTCCTGGAACAGCACACTGTACAGGGATTCATGCAGGTTGGGGGAGCTCTAGTGGGTGGGGAGTCAGAACTCCAGAGCTTCATACCCATGGAGCTCCAGCTGGTAGGCGGCCATGTCGGCCACGGCTTGGGCATCAGCAGCTGAACCAGAGAGTGCACAGTAGATGCGCTCGTGCAGCGGGGACAGCTTGTCAAACACTCGGTTCACCACCGCCTCGCTGTCAGGAGGGAGTCAACAGTCACCAAGTTAAAACTCAGGTTTTTTTTTTTTTTTTTTTTTTTGAGACAGTCTCACTCTGTCACCCAGGCTGGAGTGCAGTGGATCAATCTTGGGCTCACTGCAAACTTCGCCTCCCTGGTTCAAGTGATTCTCCTGCCTCAGCCTCCCGAATAGCTGGGATTACAGGCACCCACCACCAAGCCCAGCTAATGTTTGTATTTTCAGTAGAGACAAGGTCCCAACATGTTGGCCAGGCTGGTCTCAAACTCCTGACCTCAAATATCTGCCCACCTCGGCATCCCAAAGTGCTGAGATTATAGATGTGAGCCACTGCACCCAACCAGAACTCAGGAATTTTTGAGGGTGATCATTCAATGTCTCTCAAATTTCTTTGACAAGAGAATAGCATGAAGTTTAATGCTTGGATTAAAGCAGGAGGCAAATAATCATCTCAGATATTATTAATCACTGCAGATGTTAATCAAAATTAGGCTTATTTTTCAGGCTTAGATTTTATAACAAAGCAAAAAATGCTAAGGTAAGAAAAATATGCCTCATCAATTTTCTTTGCTATTAACAATCTTGAGAGAGTTATGTTCTATGGAACATAATGTCAGTAATATTGACCTAACCCCATATACTCATTTTGCATGTGAGGAAATTGGTTAGGAGTGGGAGAAGAGACAAAATAGTTCAATATATGGTAAATGAGAAACCAGGTATCTGCTTGACAGAATCATCTTTTTGATCCCTAAGCACAGATGGAAAGAAGACCCTCAAAAATCTATCTCCTGTCCCCCTCTCAGACCCTATTCCTTTACTCATCCCTGTACACTACTGGGACAGGTCACATACACATTCAGACCCCAGATCCTCCTCCACAAATTCAGAGACCCAAGCACCCACCAAATAGCTTATCATAGTGGCTTTTGGGGAAGGTCAACTCCATTCCTCCAAGGCTCCAGTTTGCCAGTCTTTTCATGAATGGGTAAGGAAAGTGTGTATTTGAGGCCATTAGCTTCTTTCCAAATGCATACATCTTCACTTTTACTCACCCTGCAGACACTCGGGAATCAGAACCCATCACAACGCCCCCGTCAAACTCCACTGCCATGATGGTGGTCTGCAGAGACACAGAATATGGAATGTCAGGGCAAGAACAGCCTTGATGCCCTCATGTTAGAGAAGAAGAAACATTCCCAGAGAGGCGAAGTGACTGGCTCAAAGATTACACAGTAACAGGCCAGAGCTGACTGTCAGTACAGGCTTTTTTTCCCTTCATCTTTCCACTTTCTCTATTGCTTCATCCGGCTGCAGGGGAATGCCACAGCCCAGCTGTGATACAACACAGAAAGAACTGTGTCCCTAAGTTCCAACTTGCCTAGTGGAATCCTCTCCACTGTAGAGAGGTGGAGATGAGGCTCCTACAGGTAGAAGTGAAGCAGCTCCGCAAGTGAAAATTATCTCCAACGGAAGGGCTCATAGTATGTGCAGATGTGGTGTAGACCCAACACAGAGTAATTGACTATGATCTTGGGAAACAAGGTCAGTCTATTTTTTTTTTTTTGGTCCACAATCCTCCACTCTCACCCCCCATTTCATCAGAAGTGAGCTCTTCCAATTTACTGAACATTGGAAAAAATCGAGGAGGGCAGTGGTTAGCATGGCCAGGGGCAAGGCAGGAGAGAAGCAGCAAGGAACACATACAGATGGTTGAAAATAAAAGTTTCAGTTATGGAATTTCCGATCAAGAGGTAAATACATATCTCAGCAGCCAGGGAGGTAAATTTGTACCAAGAGATAATTTGACTGAGAAGTTTAAGCTGACTTTTCCAGGTCAAGAAAAGAATCAAGAAGAAGTGAGGGAAGATAAAGCTACATTTATTCTACTATTGAGTTGGAAGGAGCCTTAAAGATCCTCGGTTCAAATGAGGAAACCAAGTCACAGAAAATGCAAACGACTTATGCAAAGTCACACAGAGTTAATAGTAGACCTGGGACTAAAATTCAGGTCTAACTCTTATCCCTTGTTTCCACTTCTACTTCCTACTTGCCACTGCTCATTTGGCAGTGAGGGGAGATTTCCCAAATTATAAGTGGTTTCACTGTGTCTTTCTTACCAGGCCGTAAGTTACTCTGGCCCCAAAGGACGCTCCTCTGAGTATGCTTTCCGACGGACCGACTTATCATGAATAGAGGGTCAAAGAACAGGGTTAACTTCAAGTTAGAGGCTATTCCTCTCTAACAAAGCCGCCCCCAAGCCACGAGTGGTGGCAGTAGTCCAGAGCAGAAGCCAGCCAGCCAGTCTTGGGGCTGCCATCTGCCCCAGGCGCCCATCCTAAGCAAAGTCCCCCCAGTGGGCACATGGGAGTGGGCAGGGAAGACACAGGGAAGGGAGTAAGGCAGCATCTGGGCCAAGGAGAGGCCTTCCTGGGTCAAGCTAGGGAAGGGCATCACTAGTTAACACAGAACGCCCATTATCAGTGCTTGGGCTAAGAGTTGCCCAGTGGCAAGTTTATCAAAAGTCTGTGTGATGAGTTGGTCCTTCTCAATAAGTGCCTATATTTCCTTCTCCCAAGTGCTGTTCTACTTCACCCAGGGCACCATTTCCTCATCTCTTTGCACCATCCCCAACCCCCTTTCTTGATTTAACCAGCCCCCACTGTCCGGGACCAGAGTGAAAGCGAAAGCGCTTTAGAGTAGCTTCCCGTTGACGCTTCCAGCTAAGAGTCAAAGCACCCGCTTTTTCCACCAGCCTCGCGTGCCTGTTCCCTTCACGGACACTCTAGACGACCCCCCTCAGAAAAGAAATACTCTATGCTCATTGCGGGTTGCAAGCGCTGGCTGCTACAGGCGACCTCCCTGCGCTCCCGTTGGTCTCTGCATTCACTTCTCCGCGCGCGCTTCCAGGGTCCCCTGGCCGCTGCATCTCCTCCACCCCTCTGCCAACCCTCAAGCCCAGACCCATTACCCCGGTGTGGACTTCTCCCGCCCGGGGTAAGTCCCCGGTTGGTGCTCCCGCCCGCAGCATCCCTGCAAGGCACCGCTCTCCTCGCCGCCTGGGGCACTGGTTTCCAACCTGGGACAGCGCACAACGCGCAGCCGACAGCCCCGCCCCTTCGCGGCGCCGCCAGGAGGCGCCTGGGTGCTGCGGGGCTGCTTTGCGCGCGGCGCTAACGTGTGTAGGGCAGATCTGCCCCGAGACAAGTGACGAGGCAGCCCCGCCCTGAGGCTGGGGTGGGAAAACTGGTGCAAGTGGAAAGGCAGGAGGCAGGGAGAGGCGAGAAGGGTGTGCGTGATGGAGAAAATTGGGCACCAGGGCTGCTCCCGAGATTCTCAGATCTGATTTCCACGCTTGCTACCAAAATAGTCTGGGCAGGCCACTTTTGGAAGTAGGCGTTATCTAGTGAGCAGGCGGCCGCTTTCGATTTCGCTTTCCCCTAAATGGCTGAGCTTCTCGCCAGCGCAGGATCAGCCTGTTCCTGGGACTTTCCGAGAGCCCCGCCCTCGTTCCCTCCCCCAGCCGCCAGTAGGGGAGGACTCGGCGGTACCCGGAGCTTCAGGCCCCACCGGGGCGCGGAGAGTCCCAGGCCCGGCCGGGACCGGGACGGCGTCCGAGTGCCAATGGCTAGCTCTAGGTGTCCCGCTCCCCGCGGGTGCCGCTGCCTCCCCGGAGCTTCTCTCGCATGGCTGGGGACAGTACTGCTACTTCTCGCCGACTGGGTGCTGCTCCGGACCGCGCTGCCCCGCATATTCTCCCTGCTGGTGCCCACCGCGCTGCCACTGCTCCGGGTCTGGGCGGTGGGCCTGAGCCGCTGGGCCGTGCTCTGGCTGGGGGCCTGCGGGGTCCTCAGGGCAACGGTTGGCTCCAAGAGCGAAAACGCAGGTGCCCAGGGCTGGCTGGCTGCTTTGAAGCCATTAGCTGCGGCACTGGGCTTGGCCCTGCCGGGACTTGCCTTGTTCCGAGAGCTGATCTCATGGGGAGCCCCCGGGTCCGCGGATAGCACCAGGCTACTGCACTGGGGAAGTCACCCTACCGCCTTCGTTGTCAGTTATGCAGCGGCACTGCCCGCAGCAGCCCTGTGGCACAAACTCGGGAGCCTCTGGGTGCCCGGCGGTCAGGGCGGCTCTGGAAACCCTGTGCGTCGGCTTCTAGGCTGCCTGGGCTCGGAGACGCGCCGCCTCTCGCTGTTCCTGGTCCTGGTGGTCCTCTCCTCTCTTGGTAAGGGGAACGCAGGGCAAGAGGGGAGGACACAAGGGGACTGGGACAGGAATCAAAGGTAATTGTCAGTAAGGTAGAGTAGCGTGGGTTCTGGGAAATGTGGAGCAGGAGAAGGACTCCTAGCGTGGGTCTTGGAACACCACTTCGGTGTAGAAGAAACGGCACTGGACTGGCGGGGGCCAGAGGTTCTGGGCTCCATTGCTGACCGGGTCTTGATTCTTTGGGCCACGCCGGAAGCGGGGAAATCCTTTGCTCTGGGGCCGAAGGGCGGGGCATCCTCATCTCTAACAGGAGGCTTTTCTACTTCATGATCTCCAGCCTTCCTAATAAAATCCTGAAAGTTCTGGTAGAGCAACCACAGGGTAGTGAGTTCCAGGGCAGCCTATTTAGGTTCGGGATTGAGACGTCAGTGTTTCCTTTCTGCTGATGCCCTCCAGGATAATGGTGAGGGGGAGGAGGCGTGGTGGGGCCAGTCTGACTGGAACTGACCTACTTAGACTTAATATTTGTGCGTGACCTCTCTTCTCTTTCTCCAGGGGAGATGGCCATTCCATTCTTTACGGGCCGCCTCACTGACTGGATTCTACAAGATGGCTCAGCCGATACCTTCACTCGAAACTTAACTCTCATGTCCATTCTCACCATAGCCAGGTCTGGGGGCTGAAAATGGGGCACCCTGCAAATGAGGGAGTTGGAAGTTGGGGCTGCTGTCCGAAATGCACTTATATGGGGATACCTGGGACCTTCAGTCTGTTCCCTGAACACACCCTGATCCCCTTTTTTTCCGGGTTCTTTATAGTGCAGTGCTGGAGTTCGTGGGTGACGGGATCTATAACAACACCATGGGCCACGTGCACAGCCACTTGCAGGGAGAGGTGTTTGGGGCTGTCCTGCGCCAGGAGACGGAGTTTTTCCAACAGAACCAGACAGGTTTCTCCTGAAACTCTTTCATTATACGCCATGTACTGTTCATATCCTCATACATCTGCTTTGATCTCCCCCCTCCCCGCTCTCTCTCTCTCACACACACATACACACATTGTTCCTTCTCATTCTTGATATACCCTCTCCCTGTCTCTCTCTCTCTGTCTCTGTCTCTCTCTCTCTCTCTCTCACACACACACACACACAATTGTTTTTCTCATTCTTGATATACCTCAGGAGCAAAATATTGTCCTCCTTACCTTAAGAAAAACCTAGAGTTTTCATCTAGCATTTTCTTATAAATCTATTCCTATGTATCCTTAGATAGAAACCATAGAATTTCAAACCTGGAAATTTTGAGCTCATAGAGACCAACTGCCTCATCTGACAGAGAAGGAAACTGAGGCCAAGACCCTAAATGCTGAAACTGCACAGTTACATATGGCTAGAGACACACTTGGGGTTAGAACCCTGGTCTCTTGAGTGCTCCACAGACTTCGGCATGCTTTCTAGCAGCACTAGAAGCTGTACAGTTACATATGGCTAGAGATAGACCTGGGGTTAGAACCCTAGTCCCAGTGAGTGCTCCACAGACTTTGGCATGCTTCCTAGCAGCACCCTCCTCCTCCATCTCTGTTATGTGACCAGTTTAAGCTCTTCCTGCCTGTGTGTATAGCATGGGACATACAGGTTCTCTAGGGAACAGAAAGCTTTCAGGAAAATGGAAATTCACATGTGCATTAATGACTTTATAATTAAAATGAAGGTCAGGCCTTTCCTCTTTAACACTCATCTTCCCTGCACTGAGATTTGCAGACCTCTGGAGAACCCTAACCTTGTTTCCTGCAGCCTCCTTAGAACCCCATGTTGACACCCCTGACCCTGGCATCCTGGCTCATTGTTAGTTCGTCTCATCACTTGGAACCTGTCTGATTCACCTCACTCTCTTCTCCCCAACCCTGCAGGTAACATCATGTCTCGGGTAACAGAGGACACGTCCACCCTGAGTGATTCTCTGAGTGAGAATCTGAGCTTATTTCTGTGGTACCTGGTGCGAGGCCTATGTCTCTTGGGGATCATGCTCTGGGGATCAGTGTCCCTCACCATGGTCACCCTGATCACCCTGCCTCTGCTTTTCCTTCTGCCCAAGAAGGTGGGAAAATGGTACCAGGTATGTTCATGGAGTTGGCCCGCTCTACACAGACCCTCATCTTCCAGACTTGGCAGACTCAGTTCCTCTCACATTGCTTTCAGTCCAGCTTTCCTGGCACCCTTACTGATTCTCCATCTTCATGGAACACCCTGTCCCTGTGGTCCATGTTCCCAGGTTGCTCAACATTAACCTCCATACTCTCTGGGTCTTCTTTTCTAGCTTCTCCCCACAATCTGTCTTTAAGAATTTGATCCCCAACCCGTTCTGAGTCATTTTCCTCTTCCTCGTATTTCTTTAGCATCCAAGGGGCATAGCTGTGTCTCTTTCTCTTTTCTCCTTTTCCTCTGTCTCTTCTCACCTTTAATTTCCAAATAGGTAACTCAGGTATTAGTGTCCCTGATGGTTTGCCAACCCGTGTGACATCTCTTGTCCATGTATCCACAGTTGCTGGAAGTGCAGGTGCGGGAATCTCTGGCAAAGTCCAGCCAGGTGGCCATTGAGGCTCTGTCGGCCATGCCTACAGTTCGAAGCTTTGCCAACGAGGAGGGCGAAGCCCAGAAGTTTAGGGAAAAGCTGCAAGAAATAAAGACACTCAACCAGAAGGAGGCTGTGGCCTATGCAGTCAACTCCTGGACCACTAGTGTGAGCACCTGAAGATGAATACCCATTCCCTTGTCCTTAAGATGCCGTGACTCCATTCCCATTCCTATGACCCTGCTCCCACTCCTCCTTTACTGGGAAATGGTTGGTTCAGTATTTTCGTCCTAGCAACCTGAGGCTCAATGACTCTACTCAGTGTCCCTAGCCCCCTCCCTCTCTTTAAAGATGCTAGGTGGCTTCCTTTCAGTATGGTACATAAAATCCACCCAACCATGTGGATTGGAGAGATGCGTGTCTTCCAGTCCTAGGGCCTTCCTTTGCCTCTCAGGGGAAGTGCAGGGCGCCATAAATTCTTGCACCTGGGACTGCTTCATGCTGGTACCTTGTAGATTTGTTAGTGAGAGTGATGGGAATAGTGGAAGCCAGGGATGAGGGACATCTGTGATGCACTGGAAAGAGAGCTACGCCAGTGATCCGAAGATCCTGGCTTGATGATGCAATTTACTTGTCTTGTGATCATGACAACAAATTTACCTTCTCTGAGACTGTTTCCTCTTTATTTATTTATTTGTTTGTTTGTTTGTTTATTTTTACTTATTATTATTATTTTTGAGCTGGAGTCTCGCTTTGTCGCCCAGGCTGGAGTGCAGTGGCGCGATCTGGGCTCACTGCAAGCTCCGCCTCCCGGGTTCACGCCGTTCTCCCGCCTCAGCCTCCTGAGTAGCTGGGACTACAGGCACCCGCCACCACGCCCGGCTAATTTTTTTTTTTTTTTTGTATTTTTAGTAGAGACGAGGTTTCTCCGTGTTAGCCAGGATGGTCTCAATCTCCTGACCTTGTGATCCGCCCACTTCGGCCTCCCAAAGTGCTGGAATTGCAGGCATGAGCCACTGCGCCCGACTGGTTGTTTCCTCATTTTTCAAAAATGGAGTGATATAACCTTCTTTATAAGGCTCTTCATGTATTAGCTGACATCACATGAATGAAAGCCTTTTGTGAAGAGTAAAATGCTCCCCAGACAAGGTGATAGTGGTGATGGTGGTGAAGATAACTGTGACTTGCATGATGTGCATTGAGTCAGACTCCATGGGGTCTCTGGTTCATTCTCCTGTCTGCCTATTGAGCCTGCCGATGTCACTTAGGAGACAGGGACTTGATATTTCCTTCAGGTTAATGACTGCGGTTCTTTGTGTCCCCTCCAGATTTCTCTACCTCAGTCCCTTTTTTTGTGGTCTCTTTATAGATTTCAGGTATGCTGCTGAAAGTGGGAATCCTCTACATTGGTGGGCAGCTGGTGACCAGTGGGGCTGTAAGCAGTGGGAACCTTGTCACATTTGTTCTCTACCAGATGCAGTTCACCCAGGCTGTGGAGGTGAGGTCCCTCCACCTTCACTCCCCAGTGTGATTCCTTCCTCTGGCCCAGCACCATCTGTGTGATGTCCTTCCATTCTTTACCCTTCTTGCTTCACATAATGCTGGCAAGCAGACTACCTCACTTTCACTATTCTTACCTCCCTCTAGGTACTGCTCTCCATCTACCCCAGAGTACAGAAGGCTGTGGGCTCCTCAGAGAAAATATTTGAGTACCTGGACCGCACCCCTCGCTGCCCACCCAGTGGTCTGTTGACTCCCTTACACTTGGAGGGCCTTGTCCAGTTCCAAGATGTCTCCTTTGCCTACCCAAACCGCCCAGATGTCTTAGTGCTACAGGTACAACCTACCACTCCCTGTATTCCACTGGCCCCAACTGCAATTCTGCCATCCTAAATTTTCTTCCTGCCTTCAGCCTGCTTACTGCCAAGCATATATCCTCCCTAACCCTTTAAAGGCAATGGTAGGCATCATCTGTTCCATAAATCTTCCCCAAACTCAAGAACCCAGTTTGGGCTTCCAAAGAGAATGAGAGAAGAGGTTTCGAAGAGAGTGCTCTCACGTTCCAAGGAATTGCTGCAGCAAAATCTGTGTCTTCGGTCTTCCATCTTTCCTTTTCCTTTGTAATTTGGAATGTGATTTTTCCCTTTCCTGGTGGTATCTGACATCAAGTGTGTGGCATAGTGGTGCTGGGTCTCTGCCCTTGTCTTTGCCGCTTCTTCTATCTCTACTCCTTGGGGAGGCATCACCCAGAAATCTGTGCATGTGGGAGGGTAGGAGTTTCTATATTTCCCTGTTTTTCTTCTGGGGTAAGACATCATGCTATGTAACAAGGCAATGACACTCTCAAGGTTAGAGGCCTTGGTAGCCTCTTATCGTGTGCTTCTCTGGCCTCTAGGGGCTGACATTCACCCTACGCCCTGGCGAGGTGACGGCGCTGGTGGGACCCAATGGGTCTGGGAAGAGCACAGTGGCTGCCCTGCTGCAGAATCTGTACCAGCCCACCGGGGGACAGCTGCTGTTGGATGGGAAGCCCCTTCCCCAATATGAGCACCGCTACCTGCACAGGCAGGTATGGAAGCAGGTGGCTTGAAGGAGGGCAGGGAGCATCAAATACGAAGAGCATTCTTACTGAGCACTCTGAAAGAGGGGTTAGGGAATGATAAGAGACCTTGGGTGGAGATGGTGGTGTAGTCAGGAGGGAGGTAGTATGATTTTGTGACATGTTCTCAATAAAGATTTTGAGTCTTCGATCTCTAGATAACCATACTCCCATGTGCCTTGTTCTATGACTCTTCATCATATTTCATCTCAGGTGGCTGCAGTGGGACAAGAGCCACAGGTATTTGGAAGAAGTCTTCAAGAAAATATTGCCTATGGCCTGACCCAGAAGCCAACTATGGAGGAAATCACAGCTGCTGCAGTAAAGTCTGGGGCCCATAGTTTCATCTCTGGACTCCCTCAGGGCTATGACACAGGTACTCTCTCCACTCATCTCACCACCCAGCCATCTTTACCTTTGCTGAAACCCCAGTAGTCTTGCCTTTATCCTTCAGTTCCTCCTTACTCATGGACATCAATTTGAAGTTGTAAGATCATGCTCCTATGGCTTCTTCATCCTGACATCCTCAGGATTCTGTTCATCTTCCCAGAATCTCCCCTATCCAGCTACAACCGTCAGATCTTGGTGTGTGTGAGTGCGTGAATGCATGAGTGTGTCTGTGTGCATGTACATGCGTGCACACATGTGGCTATACCGTTCTCATCTTGGCCCTTTGCTCTGCAGAGGTAGACGAGGCTGGGAGCCAGCTGTCAGGGGGTCAGCGACAGGCAGTGGCGTTGGCCCGAGCATTGATCCGGAAACCGTGTGTACTTATCCTGGATGATGCCACCAGTGCCCTGGATGCAAACAGCCAGTTACAGGTGAGGCAGTCATCTTCTTAATGGCTATATCCCACCCAATCTTGCTTCTTTTATACATCTTCTGTTAGTTTTACTAACATCATAATTATACAAACCAGTCCTTGCAGTTCTCAGTTCCCAAATCCAGTTCCATTGGATGCCTCCCCAAGGAGTAGAGATAGAAGACGAGGCAAAGACACCTAGAATCAGTTAAAAGAGACTATCTACAAACTACAGACTGAATTTCTTTCTTTCTTTCCTTTTTTTTTTTTAAGACAGTGTCTCACTCAGTTGCCCAGGCTGGAGCGCAGTGGCACAATCTTGGCTCACTGCAGCTTCAACCTGCTGGGCTCAAGCGATTCTCCCCTCAGCCTCCCGAGTAGCTGGGACTACAGGTGTACACCACTATGCCTGGTTGACTTTTATATTTTTAGTAGAGATGGGTTTCACCATGTTGCCCAGGCTGGCCTTGAATTCCTGAGCTCAGGTAATCTGCCCCCCTCAGCCTCCCAAAGGGCTGGGGTTATAGGTGTGAGCCACTGCGCCCAGTCCTATAGACTGAATTTCTAAAGCGAAACATAAGGAAAAGACCATCCTCATAATATCGTTTATTTAAAAAAATTATTTTTTGTACAGACAGCGTCCCGCTATGTTGCCCAGGCTGGCCTTGAACTCCTGGGCCCAAGTGATCCTCCCTCCTTGACCTCCCAAAGTGCTAGGATTATAGGCATGAGCCACCGGGCCCAGCCCATCCTAATCATATTAATATTAATTAAGCTAGTCTGTTTACATGCACTGTCACTCATTTATTCATTAGGAATCCTTCTGAGCTAGGCATTTATCATCATTCTACAGATGACAAAATGGAGGTTAAAAGAGGTTGAATAAGCTGCTCATATAGAGGTCATATAGCTTTTGAGTGGCGCAGCCTTGACCCAAATTCAGGTCTGCCTGACTTGAATGCTCATCTCTTTACTACTAAGTTATATTTCCTTAAAATCGAATATAAAAATGCCAAGTCCATGGGTAGAGAAGAGGACTATTCAATAGTCTTTATTCTTCTGTCACGTGTTTCACCCTAGGGTTCTCATTTTTATCCTACTTTTGCACCCTTCATGTAAAACAGTCCTTAATGAAACAAAGGGTTTGCGGAGAAGTACTCAGAATGGGAAACGTTGGTGTCCTTGGGGTTGTTAGCAGAGCCAGCAGTGATCCTGTGAGGTCAGTCCCAGCCCTGGAAACACAGGTGTCTCCCTGGGCTGAGGGTAGTCCCCGGCTCTGACGGTCCGATGTCTTTCCTCAGGTGGAGCAGCTCCTGTACGAAAGCCCTGAGCGGTACTCCCGCTCAGTGCTTCTCATCACCCAGCACCTCAGCCTGGTGGAGCAGGCTGACCACATCCTCTTTCTGGAAGGAGGCGCTATCCGGGAGGGGGGAACCCACCAGCAGCTCATGGAGAAAAAGGGGTGCTACTGGGCCATGGTGCAGGCTCCTGCAGATGCTCCAGAATGAAAGCCTTCTCAGACCTGCGCACTCCATCTCCCTCCCTTTTCTTCTCTCTGTGGTGGAGAACCACAGCTGCAGAGTAGGCAGCTGCCTCCAGGATGAGTTACTTGAAATTTGCCTTGAGTGTGTTACCTCCTTTCCAAGCTCCTCGTGATAATGCAGACTTCCTGGAGTACAAACACAGGATTTGTAATTCCTTACTGTAACGGAGTTTAGAGCCAGGGCTGATGCTTTGGTGTGGCCAGCACTCTGAAACTGAGAAATGTTCAGAATGTACGGAAAGATGATCAGCTATTTTCAACATAACTGAAGGCATATGCTGGCCCATAAACACCCTGTAGGTTCTTGATATTTATAATAAAATTGGTGTTTTGTACTGTGGTTTCTTATGTTTCCGGCACACCAAACGGCCCACTGCCTTTTGCAGCGCACTTTTCAGCTGCGGATGTCTCCTCTTTTATCATCCTCAATGTTTTACCCCCTAACTGCATCACCTTTTCCCTTAAGCTTTTTAATTCCTATGAGGCCCCTTCCACTTCCCCTATCCCCTTAGGCCCACCCCCAAGAATGTGCAAGACCCCAGCCACAGGGCCCATCAGGGCACTAGCGGCCGCAGCTCAGAGCCGTGGCCTCTCCGAAGTGGCAGATGGGGCGGGCGCGGCCAGAGCAAGTGCCAGGCGGGAACAGAGGGACTGGGCGCGCCTCACAACTCACCACCTCGCCCGCTGGTCCTTCCTGGCTCGCCTGGCTCTGAAGCTGCACCTGGAGGGGAAACCTCAGAACAGTAGGCGGGATTGCCTAGTAAATATCTCCCATTCAGGGAGGCCCAGGTCGTGTGACGTCGACAGTTGCTGGGTAGATGAGGCCAACACAGGTTGCAAGAAGAGGCGGGGTTTAGAGGCGTGAAACTCCGCAGTGCTCAGCCAAGCAGGGAGCAACGCTAGGAAGGGCGGGCAGAAAGGGCACGCTCTTGTGGGTGACTACAGGTTAGGAGACCGTTGAACCTGGAGGGGCCCTAGGATGGACCCCGTGGAAAGATTCAGAGACTGCGCCCTCTCCCTGGCGCCGCCTTCCCCTACACGCGGCGGGTATATTCTGTTGCAGTTGGCCCAGGACCTGTTTCCAAGACTCTGCCCCCTCGCACTTCCGTCCCTCCTGGTTTTGTAAAGTGATGCTCATAGGAACCCCCACCCCGCGTGACACTACTCCCAGCTCCTGGCTGACTTCTAGTCTTCTGGTTGAAGCTGCGCCTTTAGATGACACGACCCTACCCACCCCTGTTTCCAGCGGATGCCCGGGCCTGGAGGTACCTCTTACTGTAACCCATCGCCAAGTGGGCTTTTGAAGGCGCCTGTTCCTTTCTCGCTTTCTTCGGAAGACCCTTGACCCATCATTCCCCCGACCCCCATAACGGGAGAGCAGAGAAGCCGGTCCCCAGTGTGATGGTCCTGGTCCAGGCACTAACTGTCCTTTTCTCGGAAAAGGCAGGGGGATGTGGAAAAGAGTCTTGTTCCCTCCCCTTCGATCTGTGGCTTTCGCTTTCACTTCCTCCTCCGAGAGCGGACAGATCTCTGGGTGCTGGGCGGTCATGGCGCTACTAGATGTATGCGGAGCCCCCCGAGGGCAGCGGCCGGAATCGGCTCTCCCGGTTGCGGGAAGCGGGCGTCGCTCGGACCCAGGACACTACAGTTTCTCTATGCGATCTCCAGAGCTCGCTTTACCCCGGGGAATGCAGGTCGGGGCAGTAGGGAAGCCCCTAGGGATGCAGGGAGGCGGGCGCTGAGGAGTGGAGGGTCGCCTGAGAGGAGGAGGCGAGAGCGGGAGCGCGGGGTACAGGGTCGGGGGTAGCCTTCAGTCCCGGAGAGCGCCAGACCCAAAGAAGAGGCCACATGGGGATGGGGCCTGAGAGGAGGAAGTGCAAGTTAGGACAAAGAGTTACAGGTGAGGTGGGGGCTCCCAAAGGAAGACAAGAGAACTTTCCTGCCCTTGTCCACACACAAATGGTGGAGCCTTTTTCATGGGGTTATCACATGATATAGGAGGTGTGTGGTGTCTTGGGAAACCTATGAAATTTGCCTGCTGGCCTCCTCTCAGCAACTCACTGTTGCGCGACTTAGAACAAGTCACTTAGTCTAGGTCCCAAGCCCCTCTTCTGTAAAGTGAGGATACTGTTACTAAACGTGTTTTGTGAGGGTTGAATGCTTTATGCATGGAAGAAACCCTTTAAGTCACTCTCAAAATTTTTTAGTAATGGTAACATGTGCTTGCTTTCATTTCTGTTGTGCTGGAAAATGGAAAAGGTTGATACTGGCATGCCTCTTCTTTTCCTTCTCCCAAGCCATTTCCTTCTAGAGATTGGTTATTAACTGTTTCATTTATTGATGGTTAGATCATTTCTGCATATCTCCTCACCCTCATACTCCCTAAAACCTTTTCCTGGAGCCTCTTACTACAGAATTTTTCATTGCCTTTCTCAACCTCTTTTCTCTTATCAGCCCACAGAATTCTTCCAGTCCCTGGGTGGGGACGGAGAAAGGAACGTTCAGATTGAGATGGCCCATGGCACCACCACGCTCGCCTTCAAGTTCCAGCATGGAGTGATTGCAGCAGTGGATTCTCGGGCCTCAGCTGGGTCCTACATTAGTGAGTGTATACGCTCCAGCAGGCAGAATCTGGGGAGCTGGGCTCTCCTTTCCACAGGAGGCCAACTCTGCAACAAAGTGGAAGTGGATATTGATTTAGGACACACTGGGGGATCTATGGGGTCATCCCTTCTCTCCCAAAGCTCCATCTTCTTCCAGGTGCCTTACGGGTGAACAAGGTGATTGAGATTAACCCTTACCTGCTTGGCACCATGTCTGGCTGTGCAGCAGACTGTCAGTACTGGGAGCGCCTGCTGGCCAAGGAATGCAGGTAAGCGAGGCCTCTCATCTTCCTTTCTTAGCCTAGTGGTTAATCCCTGGATCTCTCAGATCATTGCTCCTTACTCTTGTCCTATGTGGTCCATCTTAGTGCTAATAGTATATTTCACAAAACAGCTTTTTGGTGATAAGACCCTTCTCCCAAATCTCAGCCTGTGCTCCACTCATAAGCCAGATAGTACGTCAGGTATTTAGCACTGACACATCCACCCTGGCGGGACAGTATCATTTACTAGGCTGCCTTTGTATGTTTCAGATACTTTAAATTCCAAATCTTTCTCTGATCTTTAGATCCTACAAAATAATTCCTTTCCAATGCTTATCTCTTTAATCATTTCCTGCCCCATCAAGTTGGAAAGAGCTAACCTCTCTTTCCTCACTCCACCTTGTCCTCACCCAGGCTGTACTATCTGCGAAATGGAGAACGTATTTCAGTGTCGGCAGCCTCCAAGCTGCTGTCCAACATGATGTGCCAGTACCGGGGCATGGGCCTCTCTATGGGCAGTATGATCTGTGGCTGGGATAAGAAGGTGGGTGCTCTCCATTCTTCATGTTCCCCCACCATGTTCCCTATGGATGACAGATCTGTTTCCCATCATATACTCCTACTCCCTCCCTGACAAGATGCATGGCATATAGAGTGCTTGGTTATAGAACTGTTTCAGTATATCCATGGACTATTTATTGGCCCAGATATGAATCATTGCATGTGTTTTGTAAGCTTGTCCCTTTTGTTAAACAGTTGATTTCAAGTTTGTTTTTCCTTTTTCATTTCTAAAGTTCGATGACTTTACCAAAGTGGTTTCCTAATTCCAATGTTCTTGTGGTAATATTAATTCTTTTGTTCACTTTTTATGTCTCATATTTGAACCCCCATGTTACCAACATCTTCCTCTCCAATTTCAGCCTGAAATCTTTCATCTTATAGGGTCCTGGACTCTACTACGTGGATGAACATGGGACTCGGCTCTCAGGAAATATGTTCTCCACGGGTAGTGGGAACACTTATGCCTACGGGGTCATGGACAGTGGCTATCGGCCTAATCTTAGCCCTGAAGAGGCCTATGACCTTGGCCGCAGGGCTATTGCTTATGCCACTCACAGAGACAGCTATTCTGGAGGCGTTGTCAATAGTAAGAGACCAATGCTCCCACCACCATGCCTGGGAGGAGTCGGCGGGTGGTGGGGGGGGTGATTTAAGATTGAGAAACCAGCCTGGCCAACATGGCGAAACCCCGTCTCTACTAAAACTACAAAAATTAGCCGGACGTGGTGACGGGTGCCTGTAGTCCCAGCTACTTGGGAGGCTGAGGCAGGAGAATCACTTGAACCTGGGAGGTGGAGCTTGCAGTGAGCCAAGATGGCGCCACTGCATTCCAGTCTGGGCCACAGAGTGAGACTCCTTCTCAAAAGAAAAAAAAGAAAATGATTGAGAGACTCAAAGGAGGGAGAGTAGTAGGGAGGAAATTTTCAGAGTCAGAAGAAGGGCATTAAAGGCCCAGTCATATGGTTTTAAGCTTGCGCATGTGTCTTGTTGCTGCCTTCAACATAACATCAGTGACAGGAACTTGCTGAGGTGAAAGGTGACTCCATGTTCTTTTCTCATTTGTCCACAGTGTACCACATGAAGGAAGATGGTTGGGTGAAAGTAGAAAGTACAGATGTCAGTGACCTGCTGCACCAGTACCGGGAAGCCAATCAATAATGGTGGTGGTGGCAGCTGGGCAGGTCTCCTCTGGGAGGTCTTGGCCGACTCAGGGACCTAAGCCACGTTAAGTCCAAGGAGAAGAAGAGGCCTAGCCTGAGCCAAAGAGAGAGTACGGGCTCAGCAGCCAGAGGAGGCCGGTGAAGTGCATCTTCTGCGTGTTCTCTATTTGAACAAGCATTTCCCCCAGGGAAGTTTCTGGGTGCCCCACTAAGTAGAATAAAGAAAAACGGTTATAAATACCTCTGTCTTGTGGCTGAATGGGGTTGGGCCTGTGGTTGTTGGGTGGGGCAGAAAGTAAAGAGACGCTTTTTCTGGAGAAGGGGCTCAGACCCCTATCTAAGAAATGTGGCCTCACCACATAGTTCTTCCTGGGGTTTCCTTCCACACTCATCTCTCCAAGACCTCAGGAAGGCTGCTCATTGCTGTCCATGGACACTTGTTTGCAATTTCACATAGGTTAGGGTCCTTTCCATAGAGAGGCACCTGGGGACTCCTGTGTGTTCCATTGTTAATGGTTTGAGGAACAGGGAGTAGGGCACCTAGGATAACTGTTTTTGACTTTATAGAGTAGGATGAAAAAGCTTCCACTTCACTTTAATATGGTAATCATATAAACACCATACCATTTATCCCAAATAACACTTTGGAGATATTGGATATTGAATATAAAGACAGACATTAAGGGTCTAATTTCATGATGTGTCATGCTGAATTGCAAGATGGCAGGACTATAATTTTAGAGGAAGAAGAGATCAGGAGGACTCCCCTAAGTGAGGAGTGTGGGGAAAATGTAAAAGATCCAGGTTAGAAGAAAGAGACACACATCATGAGATTTTCGGAATCATGCTGGAACTATGGACCATGTCACTTTCCAGAAAATAAAGGAAACAAATGCTTGAAAGTAGGAGCATGAGCTTGAGCATGGAGCTTTTTTCATTAGAGAGAGATTCTTAAAATGCCAGAATGAATAGAGTTGTAAAACTTTAGCGAGCCCCTACTTAAAATCCCTCCTCCCCACCACCACTATTTTAAACTTTAAGTGACTCCTTGGTAGTCACACAGGTAACATTTCAAAATGGTGATCTGGAATCCAAGCGACCCTTCCTTTGGGGAATTTGTTTGTTTGTTTGTTTTTAGTTTGGGAGGTGGTTTCAATCTGAAGAGTCCTTTCTGGAATAAACGAATCTTTCTGTTGCATAGGAAGGCTCTGGGTCAGGAAGGATATTTAAAAACCTAATTACTGTTCTAAACAGTGTTAAAATAGAACAAGAACCAAAGCTCAGTACGGGGCATTTCCCTCATAGGCTGAAGGTGCGCCCAACATAATTTGGAGTACAGACTCAGAGGCACCTGAACACGCGCCAGCTCAAGGTGCTCCGGCTGAGAAGGACGGATGAAGATGAACGCTCAGGGCCTACTAAATTCAAAGTCTGTACGTGAAAATCCCCTTTGGCCTGGTGAGATTGGTTGGAACCTTCTATTTAGGAGAGCCCGGCTCGCTCGCCTAAAACTGGAGCTTGCATGGAAGAGGGCACTTTTTTTTTTTTTAGACGAAGTCTCACTCTTGTCGCCCAGGCTGGAGTGCAATGACCCGATCTCGGCTCACTGAAACCTCTGCCTCCTGAGTTCAAGCGATTCCCCTGCCTCAGCCTCCCGAGTAGCTGGGATTACAGGCGTCCGCCACCACGCCCTGGCTAATTTTTGTATTTTTAGTAGAGACAGGGTTTCACCATGTTGGCCAGGCTGGTCTCGAACCCCTGACCTCAGGCGATCCGCCCGCCTCGGCCTCCCAAAGTGCTGTGATTACAGGCGTGAGCCACCGCGCCGGACCAGAAAGAAGGCACTTCTTAATAGTAGGCTCAGAGCTTGAAGTAGTAACTTTGAGAAAATTCAGTGATTCTCCAATTACAAAGCATTCTCCAATTACAAAGCAAGGACAACAGATAAAGTTGCCCTTGAGACAACTGTATTTTACTTAATGATAAAGAAACATTTTTGCAGTTTTATATCCCAGAGTAACCGCCACTAAAGGCGAGTGAGACTCATTGCAGGCCTGTACAGTGCGAACCAGAGTTCGGGCTCCAGTTCCGCTGTCTGCGGGTCTCGCGCGCCCCCTCCCGGCGGCCCAGCCCAGAATGAAGGCCTTGGCTGGGGAAGCGAAAGCGAAAGCTGCCCGAGCCCTGACGCCCGCCCTGGCCGAGCGTAGCTGGCGGACCAGAGCCGGTAGCGAGGTTGGGAGAGACGGAGCGGACCTCAGCGCTGAAGCAGAAGTCCCCGGAGCTGCGGTCTCCCCGCCGCGGCTGGTGAGTTGGTGCGGAGGGGAACCTGGAGCGCCAACAGGGACGCAGCCCAAGTGACTACCCACTCCACGCTCCTGCTTCCCAGTCCCTCTGCACCCGGCGATAGGAGGGAGCGGAGCCCGGACCACTTAGCTCGCCGCGGCAGGCGGGGGTGGGGGTGGGGGTCCGGGGATTTTTTTTTTTTTTTTTTAAGCACGAGGCTCCTGATGGTCATGCTTCCAGCTCCCCAGAAGGCCGAAAGCTGTCTGTCGTAGGAGGGGTGTACGGATGAGCACCGGTTACTCAGGAGAGCTCTCAGGGTTGAATAGGATAAAATGAGAAGCCGATGGACGGGTTAGGCGGAGCCGGGCGGGTAGGAGGGCAGGGACAAGGATTGGGACTCCACCCCCATGATTTCTCATCTCGTATCCGTTGACAGAGCCATGCGGCTCCCTGACCTGAGACCCTGGACCTCCCTGCTGCTGGTGGACGCGGCTTTACTGTGGCTGCTTCAGGGCCCTCTGGGGACTTTGCTTCCTCAAGGGCTGCCAGGACTATGGCTGGAGGGGACCCTGCGGCTGGGAGGGCTGTGGGGGCTGCTAAAGCTAAGAGGGCTGCTGGGATTTGTGGGGACACTGCTGCTCCCGCTCTGTCTGGCCACCCCCCTGACTGTCTCCCTGAGAGCCCTGGTCGCGGGGGCCTCACGTGCTCCCCCAGCCAGAGTCGCTTCAGCCCCTTGGAGCTGGCTGCTGGTGGGGTACGGGGCTGCGGGGCTCAGCTGGTCACTGTGGGCTGTTCTGAGCCCTCCTGGAGCCCAGGAGAAGGAGCAGGACCAGGTGAACAACAAAGTCTTGATGTGGAGGCTGCTGAAGCTCTCCAGGCCGGACCTGCCTCTCCTCGTTGCCGCCTTCTTCTTCCTTGTCCTTGCTGTTTTGGGTGAGTCAGGAGAGGACGTTGTGAGTTGGAGGTGGTAAAAGGGCCTGGGCACCAGCACATTCTTGTGTTATTTTTCATGCCTCTTTCAGGTGAGACATTAATCCCTCACTATTCTGGTCGTGTGATTGACATCCTGGGAGGTGATTTTGACCCCCATGCCTTTGCCAGTGCCATCTTCTTCATGTGCCTCTTCTCCTTTGGCAGGTAGGTGGTGGGCAGCTGGGTCCATTTGCTAGCCCCAAATCTTTATAGGGGTCTTCACTTCCCTAACTCCATTTCTAGGCCCTTTCAGGCGCAAAACACAAAAATACTTAAACTAAAATATGGTGAATGTAGTCACCATTCTGTTTCATCTATCCATTCATTTCTTCCTTCGTTCATATTCATCCAATATCTTCAAAGTTTATCTGATCTTATTATAGGAACAAGTTATGAGTGAAGGTAGTACAAAAGGAATTTAAGTCTCAGATGGAATGTCTCTCAGTTGTCTCTCAACATTCCTAGGTCCATGAAATTCCATTTCTTTCTGCCTCCTACCTCCTACCCCTAAGTCTGTCTCCAAAGTATCTCTCCAGGGTCACTCCCTCAGGATGGGTATGCTTCTCCCTTTCACTCTTCTTTCCCAGCTCATCTTGCCAGTCCCTGAAGATCTTACTCTGAGGCTTATCACCTTTCTTTCCAGAATCATTACTCTTTTCCCTTCACTTGCTTTCCTTTCTCTTTCTAGACATACTCAAACAAACAAACTGTTTGATAAGGCTGGGACTGGGATGAGGTGAGCGAGGCACCTGGGGTGCAAAGTTTAAGGAGGTGTGCACTCACCTTACCCAAATCCCAGCCGGCCTGATTGTCTCTATTTTTATGGTCATACTTAATTTAGAGTACCCTCGAAAACCATTTCATTGTGCCTTCATTCCATCCTGGCTGCTTTCTGCTGAAACTACAGTCGTGCACTGCATAACGATGTTTAGGTCAATGATGGGCCACATATAAGATGGTGGACCCACAAGATTATAATACCATATTTTTACTGTACCTTTTCTATGTTTAGATACACAAATACTTACTTCTGTGTTACAGTCGCCCACAGTGTTAGGTGCAGTCATATGTTGTACAGATTTGTAGCCTAGGAGCAATAGGCTAAACTACATGGCCTAGGTGTGCAGTAGGCTATGACATCTAGGTTTGTGTAAGTACACTCTATGATGTTCATACAACAATGAAACCATCTAATGACACATTTCTCAGAACACATCCCTGTCATTAAAGTACAAACCCTCATTATATCATGTCTGACTCTCCCAAACGCCTCTTCAATATGGTAACTAAATTTGTATTAGAAACATATATTTTGTAAAATACATGCTTTTATGCTTTATATTTTTTCCTCTAAGTGTTACTGTAGCATGTAGTTGGTCTAAGAGGGATTTTCCAACTCGAAGGATGAAAGATGGGAATCACATGACTCTGGGGCTCCAGAGAATTGTGGGGGCAGGGAATTTATTATTGCAGTTCCCATGATGAAGTATCTATGATGACAGAGAAGGGCTTTGGGTATGGGGCAGGAAGGAGACCAAGGCGGAGGAGACGCACAGAGGGACAAGCCTGAGGGACGCTGGGACAGAAGCAAGCACTGGGATACTTGTTTTCACAATATCTTTTCCCTTCTATTGTAGTCTTCTATTGTGTCTAGTACAGAGTGCACTCCATAAATACTTGTAAATTTGTACATGTTATGATTTTGTTCTCACATCTAGCTCACCATGTCTCCTCTTTCTTCTTCCTCTGTGTATTCCTTACCTCTTCTCTCTCTGTGTGTCTGTCTCTCATTTCTTTCTCTTTTGCCCCTCCTGGCATGCTTTCCCCTGACTTTGCGCTTCTCTGCACTCCTGGCTTGCTCCTCTGTTTCACCCGCTGGCTTGCTCCTTCTCTGCATCTCCCTCCCCTCTTATTCTCCTACCCCACAGCTCACTGTCTGCAGGCTGCCGAGGAGGCTGCTTCACCTACACCATGTCTCGAATCAACTTGCGGATCCGGGAGCAGCTTTTCTCCTCCCTGCTGCGCCAGGACCTCGGTTTCTTCCAGGAGACTAAGACAGGTGGGCCTGGAGTCCAGGTCTGAGATTCCCATGGACATCCCTTGCCCCTCAGTGACCTTCCACCCACAGCCTCTCCTCCTGCCTTCACCCGTATGCCAGGACCTGGGGATGCTTTTCTCTTGTTTGGGACAGGGTGGAGAAGCAGCCTCCACTGTCCCTCTGCAAGTGAAGGAGGATGTTCAGAGGAGGGGGCTGTGTCAGAGGGAACGGTCAGGAGGGAGTTTCTGGGGGCCCTGCAGTACACATGGTTTCCTTTTTCCTCACCTGCTCTGTCCTTCTTAGGGGAGCTGAACTCACGGCTGAGCTCGGATACCACCCTGATGAGTAACTGGCTTCCTTTAAATGCCAATGTGCTCTTGCGAAGCCTGGTGAAAGTGGTGGGGCTGTATGGCTTCATGCTCAGCATATCGCCTCGACTCACCCTCCTTTCTCTGCTGCACATGCCCTTCACAATAGCAGCGGAGAAGGTGTACAACACCCGCCATCAGGTGAGCGTGCATGTAAGGGAACCCCAAAGGGAGAATAAAACTGACAGGTGAGGAGGCTTCCACATTTGTGGCTAGAGGATCCCCTAGAGAGAGATGTTCTCTTCTCAGCCGTTAGGGGAGAAGATATATTGTAGTATATACTACATTTTGTTTGTCCAGCCATCCAACAATGGATATTTGACTTCAGAAGATTCATGATTCTCCAGAACTGTAAACAAAAATGTAAAGTGTATGTGAAGGTATGGGGGAGGGAATAGGAAGGGGAGATGATAGGCGATGATAACTTTTCATTAGCTTCTCAAAGGAGTCTGTACATCCCCCGCCCCCACTGCGAAGATTAAAAATGGTTTCTTAGAGGCTTTTAGGCAGGGAGATTTTCCCTTTAAAATCAGCAGAAGAAGTCTGGATGCAGCATAGGGAAAGGAGGCGTCATCAGGAAGTCCTAAGTCTGAATGTCAGCTCCACCTTCTCTTTTTCTCTTATATTGTGGTAAAACATACATAACATAAAATTTACCATTTCAACCATTTGAAGTGTACAGTTCAGTGACATTTAGGAAACCCACATTGTTATTGGGTAACCATCATCACCATCCATCTCCAGAACTTTTTTCATCTTCCTAAAATGAAACTCTGTACCCACTAAATAGTAACTGCCTACTACCCCCAACCCCTGGCCGCTGGCAACCTCCATTGTACCTTCTGTCTCCATGAATTGTGATGACTCCAGGTGCGGTACGTAAGTGGAACCATACAGTATTTGTCTTTTTGTGACTGGCATATTTTACTTAGCGTAATGTCTTCAGGCCTCATCCATATTGTAGCATGTGTTAGAATTTCCTCCCTTTTAAGGCTGAATAATATTCTGTTGTGTGCATATATCACATTTTGATTATCCATTCATCTGTCAATGGACATTTGCGTTGTTTCCACCTTTTGGCTGTTGTGAATTATGCTGCTGTGGACATGAGTGTACACCTGTTTGAAACCCTGCTTTTGGTTCTTTTGGGTATATACTTAGAAGTGGAGCTGCTGGATCATATGGCAATTCTATTTAACAATTTTTGAGGAACCATGTATTAGTCCATTTTTACGCTGCTGATAAAGACATACCCAAGATTGGGCAATTTACAAAAGAAAGAGGTTTATTGGACTTACAGTTCCATGTGGCTGGGAAGACCTCACAATCATGGCGGAAGGTGAAAGACACATTTCACATGGCAGCAGACAAGAGAAAAGACAGCTTGTGCAGGGGAATTCCCCTTTTTAAAACCATTATATCTCGTGAGACTTATTCAATATCACAAGAACAGCATGGGAAAGACTTGCCCTCATGATTCAATTACCTCCTACCCAGTCCCTCCCACAACACATGGGAATTCAAGATCAGATATGGGTAGGGACACAGCCAGATCGTATCAAACCACCATACAGTTTTCCATAGCGGCAGCACCATTTTAAATTCCCACCAGCAGTGCATAAGGTTTCCAATTTCTCCACATCCTCATCAACACCACTTTCTGTTGTCTTTTTTTTAATAGCCATTCTAATGGTGATTAGGTGATTAGGATTATCTCATTGTGGTTTTGATTTGCATTTCCCTAATGATTAGTAAATATTGAGCATCTTTTCGTGTGATTTTGGCCACTTATGTTTCTTTCTTGAAAGAATGTCTGCAAGTTCTTTGCCCATTTTCTGATTTTTTTTTAAGTTGTGGGAGTTCACTATATGTTTTGCCTATTAATTTCCTATCAGATATATGATTCACAAATATTTTCTTGTATTTCATGGTTGCTTTTTCACTCTGTTGCTAGAGTTCTTTGATGCACAAACGTTTTAAATTCTGATGAAGTCTGATTTATCTATTTTTTGTTGCCTGTGCGTTTGGTGTTATATCCAAGAAATCACTGCCAAATCTAGTGGCATGAGGCTTTTCTTCTACATTTTCCTAGGAGTTTTATAGTGTTAGCTCTTATGTTTAGGCCTCTGATCCATTTGGAATTACATCTCCACCTTTCTTAACTATCTGTGGCTCCTTGGGAAAACTACCCTTCTTTCCTGATTCAGACACTGGGGATGGGAAAATTACCTCAAATGAAGGTTAAAAAAATTGCATGTATCTCCTATACTACCTAACACTGAGAGCTCAATAATATTTTGTTCCCTTGCTCCTTCACTCTTATTCCTTCTGGAAAGAAGAGTAAGGAAGAGGGAGAGAAACAGTTTGGTATTTTTAGGTAGACTAGGGAGCATCTCACTGGCTGGAGTAAGATGTGGGGGCCTGCTGTCTTTGCACATCAGCCCTGGTGTTTGCTGGCCCTCTTTTCCAGGAAGTGCTTCGGGAGATCCAGGATGCAGTGGCCAGGGCGGGGCAGGTGGTGCGGGAAGCCGTTGGAGGGCTGCAGACCGTTCGCAGTTTTGGGGCCGAGGAGCATGAAGTCTGTCGCTATAAAGAGGCCCTTGAACAATGTCGGCAGCTGTATTGGCGGAGAGACCTGGAACGCGCCTTGTACCTGCTCGTAAGGAGGGTAAGATACCAGAGTGGTTGTGAAAGGAGCCCAGGAAAGGGGGAGGGCAAGGGAAGAGGAAACTACAGCTGGTTCTAGAGGCCTTTGCAGCTCAGTCTCATAGAGGCAGAGAGGGGGAAAGAATGGGAAGATTCCCAGCCTCATCTCTTTCTTCTCCTCTTCCAGGTGCTGCACTTGGGGGTGCAGATGCTGATGCTGAGCTGTGGGCTGCAGCAGATGCAGGATGGGGAGCTCACCCAGGGCAGCCTGCTTTCCTTTATGATCTACCAGGAGAGCGTGGGGAGCTATGTGCAGGTGAGCGAGAAGCCAAGCCTGCTCTCCTTTTTTCCCTCTCTTTTTCTTTGTGGACTCCTGGGCCTTGGGCTTTATTTGTTCTTTTTAACAATACAATACAAAACCAAAACCCGCAAGTAATTTTGCTATGGAGAATTTTAAACATATGCCAAAAATGAGACAAAATAATATTACAAACTCACATGTATACATCCTGTGCTTTAACAATGATCAACTCATGCCCAATCTTGTTGGATCTGTATCCCCAGCCACTTCCCCCCACCCATATTATTCTGAAGCAAATCCAAGATATTGTATACTTTCATCTGTAAATATTTCAGTATGTTTCTTAAAAATACAAACATCTTTAAAAGTGTATAACAACAAAGCCATTATCACACCAAAAAATTAACAGTAGTTCTTAAAATTTATCAAATAGTCAATTGTCAAATTTCCACTTGTGGTATCCATGTAGTATATGTGTATGAGTGTGTTTATTATACTTTGCTTAAATCAGGATCCAGAAATGGTCCACATATTGTGACTGGTTGATACATCTTTTAAGTCTGTCTGTCTATCTATCTATCCATCCATCTATCCATCCATCCACCCATCAATCCATGTATCTGTCTAAAAGTTTCCCTTGCACAGTTTATTTGTTGAAGAAATAGGTTGTTTGTCCTGTGGAGTTTCTTAGGGTCTGGATTTTGTTGACTGAATCCCTGTGGTATTATATGCTCTTCTGCCTCTGTACTTCCTGTCTATTGATAGATAAACCTAGAAGCTTGTGAGATTGAGGGGTTTTTTTTGGTCTTTTTCCAGCAACAGTACTTTTTAGGTGGTGATGCATTCTTCCTCCAAGAGGCACACAATGTCTGGTTCTCTATTTGTGGCAACATCAGCCACTGATGAGCAGTACCTACATCCATGACAGAATTAGGGCTGCAAAAGGGAGATACTCTATCATTCTTCATGTATTAGCTGAAGTAGTCTATGAAGGGAGACTTCCCCTCATCTACCATTTCATTACCCGGTGGTACAGTTTGATGAGGAAAGGCAGAGTGAGCATTTAGATCTCTTCCTACATTTACCAGTTCTCAAAAACAGCTACTTCATCCAGGGCTTTATTTAAACATTTTCCTAGACACTTGATAAACATCTTTTTTGTGTAGAGAACTGCGCTGGGCACTCTGACGGCTACAAAGGTGAGTTGGGCACAGTGCCTGCATTTAAGGAGCTCCCCGTCTAATCAAGCAAGACAGAACTGGGCACAAGTAATAGGAAGCAGTAACTGAAAAGATCTGGGGCTAGAGGCAATGCTGTATGGTAGGAGAATGGACTGTATATCCTTTATATTGCAAATTGGAACACTGGGGTATTGGTGCCACTTTTAAATTCCATCCAAATTGTACATTTAAAGGTGGAGAATCTCTTTTGAGTATGGAGGAGGAGCAGTGCAGTTGTGAGTGGAGTGTGTGAGGAGTTGGGAGGGTGGTTTCTGGTAGAAGTGTGTTTAATTAGCCGGCTCTCCCATTCCTGTTTTCCAGACCCTGGTATACATATATGGGGATATGCTCAGCAATGTGGGAGCTGCAGAGAAGGTTTTCTCCTACATGGACCGACAGCCAAATCTGCCTTCACCTGGCACGCTTGCCCCCACCACTCTGCAGGGGGTTGTGAAATTCCAAGACGTCTCCTTTGCATATCCCAATCGCCCTGACAGGCCTGTGCTCAAGGTGCCTGAAAGAGGGAGGAAACCTGGACCCTTGCTCTCTGCTGCTAATGCATAATTGGACATCACAGCCTATAGTTCATTTGCCTCTGAGAACCTGGTCTTGCCTCTGCTAAGAAGAGAAATGGAGGGATTTTGAGGGAGAAGGGGCAGGCCCTTAACTCTTTTTCTGGTTTTCTAGGGGCTGACGTTTACCCTACGTCCTGGTGAGGTGACGGCGCTGGTGGGACCCAATGGGTCTGGGAAGAGCACAGTGGCTGCCCTGCTGCAGAATCTGTACCAGCCCACAGGGGGACAGGTGCTGCTGGATGAAAAGCCCATCTCACAGTATGAACACTGCTACCTGCACAGCCAGGTGGGTGAGGAGGGAGAAGACAGGGGACAGGAGAGGGGAGCATGTACAGAGAGAGGATGGGAGATCCACGGGAAGGCGCACCAGGTGTTCATTCTGAGGGAGGTAGGTGGGGAGGACAAAAGGGCCCCTGCCTTGGGGGTTTACACATAGTCCTCTGCCCCTGTCCCCGCTGCACAGGTGGTTTCAGTTGGGCAGGAGCCTGTGCTGTTCTCCGGTTCTGTGAGGAACAACATTGCTTATGGGCTGCAGAGCTGCGAAGATGATAAGGTGATGGCGGCTGCCCAGGCTGCCCACGCAGATGACTTCATCCAGGAAATGGAGCATGGAATATACACAGGTATCTTCTACAAATTGTAAGCCTGCTCCTTCAGTAAAAAAGAGAAAATCAGACTTACTCTTAGTGGTGAAGGTCGTGTCCCTGTAACTTGATGTTTGCTGTTCCTCTGCCCTTTCCTCCATTCCTACGTCTCCTTCCCCACACACTGAATTCTTCAGCCTCCCTCTTGCTCAAGAGTCTTTGTTTGCAGAGAGCAATGCAGCAGTGGTGCTCCCTCCATGGGCAGCCCCGTCAGGTCCCCACCCCATGGCCCTCCTCCCACTGGGCCCTCCCCGCACTGGGCCCTCCCACCTCCCGAGGTCCTACTGGAAGTACCTGCTGTGCACTTGTCCCTCCTTGTGTGTTGTCTGTGTCACTTGTATCTGAGGAAGGGAATTTCTCTGATTTCCTCAGATGTAGGGGAGAAGGGAAGCCAGCTGGCTGCGGGACAGAAACAACGTCTGGCCATTGCCCGGGCCCTTGTACGAGACCCGCGGGTCCTCATCCTGGATGAGGCTACTAGTGCCCTAGATGTGCAGTGCGAGCAGGCCGTGAGTACCGTGAGAGGGCAGGGGACAGTGGGGCCTGGGAGGGGCATGCTGGGAGGATCAGACTGTGCAGAATTGGGCAGAGGGAGGACGAAGGACCTACTAGTGGAAACAGTCTGTGCCTTCTTGGGGTTGGGGAATGGAATCCGGTGGTGTGAGGGCAGCCCCAGTTCCCTCCTGGGCTTCCATTCCTCCAGCTGTGGCAGTACAGCCGGGAGAGAAGGGCAGTCCAGGCCTTTATCTACTGCCCTTTCCTACCTTCTTTTATTTCACACCTTCTTTACCCTAAATCATAAGAGATGGTGCCCAGGTGGATGTGGTGTCCATCTCATTCCTGTCTTTCTGAGGCACTGTGATCACCCCTTCAGCTGCAGGACTGGAATTCCCGTGGGGATCGCACAGTGCTGGTGATTGCTCACAGGCTGCAGACAGTTCAGCGCGCCCACCAGATCCTGGTGCTCCAGGAGGGCAAGCTGCAGAAGCTTGCCCAGCTCTAGGAGGGACAGGACCTCTATTCCCGCCTGGTGCAGCAGCGGCTGATGGACTGAGGCCCCAGGGATACTGGGCCCTCTTCTCAGGGGCGTCTCCAGGACCCAGAGCTGTTCCTGCTTTGAGTTTCCCTAGAGCTGTGCGGCCAGATAGCTGTTCCTGAGTTGCAGGCACGATGGAGATTTGGACACTGTGTGCTTTTGGTGGGGTAGAGAGGTGGGGTGGGGTGGGGTGGGGGCTGTCTGTGTCCAGGAAACTTAATTCCCTGGTGACTAGAGCTTTGCCTGGTGATGAGGAGTATTTTGTGGCATAATACATATATTTTAAAATATTTTCCTTCTTACATGAACTGTATACATTCATATAGAAAATTTAGACAATATAAAAAAGTACAAAGAAGAAAAGTAAAAGTACCCATTGTTTCACTTCCTGGAGATAACCATAGTTGCTATTTTGCTGCCTGTCCCATCAGTCGTTTATCTGTTGTTTGAGATAGAAATTAACCAAAAATGACATAAATATTCATGAGATTGCCTTCCTATATCCTTCCTTGTTCCTACCAGTGTCTGCTATTTTGAAGAAGCTAGGGTCTGGAGGGACAGAGAACAGTTCCCTGATTAACAGTATTAATAGCGACATTGGTAACAGCTACCATTTATAGAGTTTTAATGGGAGTAGGAGCTATGCTAAGTGTTTTTCATGTATTATCGTTTTTAATCATTATCCCCAACCCTATGAGGTTGGTTATTATCCCCATTTTACAGATGAGGAAACTGAAGCTCAAAGAGGCTCAATGACTTTCCCAAGGTGGTCGTAGTGGTGGAGTTGGAGTTTGAACACAGGCCTGACCCTAGAGTCCACACCCTGACCCAATCAATTATATTGCATCTTGGGTCCATAAACCCTAATCCATAATCCCATCAAGAAAAGCTCTGCTGCTCTTAGCTCTAAATAATTCAGAATCTATTCTCTTCTCTCCAGTCCCGTTGTTATAGTCTTCACTCATAGACTTAAGATGATCCCATCACCAGAGAGGTTTCTCTACCATTAGCTTCCCTCTTCCGGCCATTCTTCACAAAGTCATTTTTCTAAATTCTGTGTCACATACGATGATGGCATTTCTGGAAATTCCTTCAGGTGCTCTCAAGCCCTGCTGCAGAGATCCTTTTCAGAGCACACACTGTTCCAGCCCATCTGTCTCACCCTCTCCTGTTGTATCCAGCTCCACGACAAACTTCTGCCTTCCCCAACACCTTTGTGCCTTTGCATATGGTGTTTTCTTGCCCATTTTCTGCTCGACTCGCCCCTGATTTTCAAGTTCAAGACTTAACTCAGGGTTCAGGTCTTCCAGGAGGCCTTACTTATGTCGTCAGTCTGGGGAACTCTCCATGTGCTTCTATCACTGTGCGGTTACCTCTTTCACAGCCCTTTTAAAGTTCTATCTTCCCTTTCCCACCTTTTTTGACCTTCCACTAGACCATGAGCACCTGGGCGGAAAGCCATATATCTTATTAAGCTTTATATCTGCTACCTGGCCGAGGGCCTAATTCATAGTGGAGAATAAATAGTCAATTGAATAAATGAATAAATATCTCCACCATCGTACTAATCTTAATCCTCCCTGCCCACTCCCACCACTGAAAATGCAACATTGTACACATCACTGGTTGTTGGGAGGGACTTACCTTGGAAAGTTGCTATTCTAGGAAAGAGAAACCTTCATATTCCTGGAAACAGCAGGTAGTTTCCAGTGCTGGCAATGAATTCCCCAGAACTGCTGTTTTGGATTTTTTCTTGCCTGGCAGCTGTTGGGAGCAGGGTGCAGTGAGGATGGGGTGAGAGTGGGCAGTTTCTTGTGCAGATTTGCCTTTCTTTCATCCTGGGGCTGACTTGCAGCTCCACACCCATCCATCTCTCAAATTTCACAGAGGGTAAAATAGGCATTTGGAGAGAAAGAACTCTGGCCTGATTCCTTTCTCTCCCACAAATGTCCTTTATTCATAAAACAGGAATAATAATTCCTGTATCTCCCAACTACATGGAAGCTGCAGCCCTCACAGAAGAAGATGATCTGAGAAATTCTTTGATTTCCTCAGTACAGTTATACCCATGCATCATAATACTTTAAGCCTGGAAGGCATCTTAAAAATAATGCAACAGTCAAACCTAATTTTACAGAGAAACTGACATGAAATCACGCAGCTAATCATGATAAAGCTGGGTGGAAAACTTATCTTGATGGGCAGTACAGGAAGATGCAGTAGACCTTAAGATGTCCTGAAAGTTTCTTATCTCAGGGGAAACTCCCAGGTAGGCTTTATGTCAGGGACACAGAAAAATGCTCCCTGAAAGTCAAAATATTCGGGCTAGACAGACAAATTCCTGTAAGTGTGGTTTGTCTGGGAACCACAGATGTCACTAATCCTGGTTTGCTCCAGAGTTCTTTTTGTTCACTCCTACCCCCCATCACCATTTGATTGATCTCCTTACCCTGTAATTTCCCCTTCTTGTCGCTTACCTGCAGTATCTTTCCCACCCAGGCATGCCTTATTCTTTCTAAAGGAAAGTATGAATGGAGAGGGGAAAGCTTGGGAAACTGATAGATTTCCTTGGATGCCAAAACACCTCCATAGCCTGTCTGCCCGGCCCTATGTGGAAACAGCATTGAGTTTCAAGTCCTTTATGCCTCCACCCAGGGATAGCCACTTGGAATCCACATGGCAATTGTGAAACAAGCAGGAAATGCGTAATTGTCAGAATTTTGTGGGGAAAGGACTAGGGAATAAGGAAAACAAAGATCTTCCTTGTGTTTTAGAGCTGTCAGCTAGAGGAGCACCTGCTTGAGTCTGATGCCATCTAATGGTCCCAGAAGAAACTGGGTTTTGAACCTAGAGTTCCATGGACTCTTAGGAATTAGACTACTACTACTACTAAGCATTCACTGGTGCTTACTATGTGCTATTGCTGTGCCAAGTATCTGAAACCTGTCTTCTTACCTTATTTTTCAAGATAATTCTATGTGGCAGGTATTACTATCTCAATTCTAAGAGTGAGAAAATGGAGTTTTAGAAACATTTACTAACTTGCCTGGGTCACATAGCTAAGGAAGAGGTGGACTTGCCCAGCTTTGCATAAAACTCCTCAAAAGAGTTGCCTATACTCCCTGACTCCACTTATCTTCCTACTATCCTCTTTTTAAAATATATTATTTATTTATTTAAATAAGCAATATATGAATGTGGTTTGAAATTCAAAAGACACAAAGAAGTATACAGAGGAAAGCCTCACTCTCAATCCTTCTCAAGGTTTGCTAATTCCTCTTGCATAGGCAATCCGTTCTTCCAGCTTTGTGTTTATCTTTCCAGAGAAGTTTACTGTGTATTAAGCAAATATGTATATCTTTATTCTTGCTCAGTATTTTCGCAAACAGCAGCTGTCTAAGTTCACTGTTCTGAACTTTATTTTTTAAATTAAAAATATATGGCTATGTAGTATTCTATTTTATGGAAGTTCCATATTTCATTTATCCTGTTTCCTTCTACTGATGGCTAGTTAGGTTATTGGAAGTCTTTTGCTGTTGCTAGTTAGTCTTGTATAGACATTGTAATGCACATGTGCAAAAATACAAGTATGATACAATCTTAAAGGGGAGTTGCTGAGTCCAATATATACATTACAAATATTGATAGATATTGCAAAATTGCCTTCATAGAGGCTATATTAATTTATAGTTCCAGCAGCAACATATGAGTTTATCTGTTTCTCCATATATATATATATGTATATAACCAACAGACAGTGTTAATTTTTAAAATTTTGACAATCTTCTGGGTGAAAGTAGCATTGTATTGTAGTTATCATTTGCTTTTTAATATTATCATGTAAGTAACAGAGATACTAAACCCAGAAGGATAAGGGAGCAAAGATGAGAAAAATAAACACACACACAAACAACAATAACAAATCTGTCTAAAATATTGGAAAATCAGAATGAGAAATGAAATATGACTGTAACGATAAAAATCAGTAATAAAAATGACTATTAAATTTAAAAATAAGGCAGAGCAACCACAAGTGACATGAGAATGAGGCAGACAAAGTTAAAGCACCTAAAGTCTTTGTCTTGTTTGAAAGGAGGGTAGAGATATTGATTACCTTCAGATGCTGCCACATTTGGTAAACATGTTAAAAATATAAGACTGACTTTTAACTAATATAATTAGAATTTAAAATTCCTAAATCAGTAAGGGGAAATTAAATAATACTTTAAATAAAAATGTAATTGATTTAATATAAGTGATGCAAGGAAAACAAAAGAAGCAAAGTAAGACATAGCAAATACAGAGCACCATATATTGTAACAGAAACGAATGTAAATAGCACAGTGATCACAAGTATAAATAGCTTAAATATGGGAGTTAAAGGAAAGTTCTCAGATTAGATTAACAATATCGCAAAATCCAGTTATATGCCCTTCATAAGATCACAAGAAACCTAAAAACATGAAAATGTTAAATCAAAACCAGATATAAGATACACAAAGCAAACACTAACAGAAGACAGAAAGACAGCTTATGTAATTACAGAAATATCTAAACATATAGTCTAAAACCAAAGGCATTAGTAAAAACAAAGACAGCCATTACATAGTGATAATGAAGTCACCAGAACATTATACTAAAACTGAATCAGTTTGCACCTAGCAATAAAACTACAAAATATGTAAGAAATATAGGAGAATTATAGGAAGAAATTAATTGAGAAATTGAAACACATTTCTCAATGATTATAGAATAAGTGGAAAAATGAATAAGGATATCAAATAAGCCTGTTGATGTTCTTGTCTGTAACATCTAGGAATCAAAATATATTCTTTAAAACTAATAAATCAAGTGCTCGTATTTACACATTTAAGACTACAAAGGTAGACACACACACAGAAAGAGGAAGGGAGAGGATATGAGCTAGTTTTGTGATTGTTCATTATTTAAAACTAATAGGAATTATCTAAAGGAAGAGGGAACTAAGTGTATTATATACAAATAAACTTATCAAAGCAACCTTGAAATATACACCTTCCTTAATATCTGAAAAGGTAAAATTTTTAAAATGCACAATAAAGACATAGTGAAAGATTTTTAAAAATACTCATGTAAACATTATACTTAACAGAAGTTAATATCTCTGAATTAGACTGAATCTATTTGCTGTATGAATAATTATAAATGGGCTTCTTAACTGAACTAAATAAATGAAAATATTTTTAAATTAGATTAAGATAAAAACTCTATTATTTGCAATATGCAAAAGACACCTAACATAAAGCCACTCAGAAAGATGTATTCATTATTTTCAACAAATAAGATGATGGGCAAAGACATAACAAGAGAAGGCAAACAAAAGGGAAGCAGAGGTCACATTCGTCTTACCAAACAAGATGAAATTCAGACACTCCTCACCAAAAAAAAAAAAAAAAAAAAAAATTGAGTGTGACAAGAAGGGCACTTTATAATGTAAAGTATAAAATTCATATGAATATATGAGACATGTGTTTAAGTTCTAAATACCAAATAGGTAGCTCTTATAAAGCAGAAATTAAGGTAGATACAAGGAAAATATTCAGAAATGTACTACCAATAGAACACTTTAATTCCCTTTCCCTGGACTAGACCAGTTAAGTGGACAAAAAAATAGGCTGGGCCTGGTGATTCATGCCTGTAATCTCAGCACTTTGGTAGGCCAAGGCGGGCGGATCACCTGAGGTCAGGATTTCGAGGGCAGCCTGGCCAACATGGTGAAACCCTGTCTCTACCAAAAATACAAAAATTAGCTGGGTGTGGTGGTGGGCGCCTGTAATCCCAGCTACTTGGGAGGCCGAGGCAGGAGAATTGCTTGAATCTGGGAGGCAAAGGTTGTAGCGAGCCAAGATCGCACCACTGCACTCCAGCCTGGGCGGCACAGTGAGACTCTGCCTCAAAAAAAAAAAAAAAAAAAAGTATGAACACAGAAGATAGAAGATATTACTATCAATAAAAAAATAGATATGCTACATCTATATCAAACTTTTAAAATTGAAAATAGAGGCCGGGTGCAGTGGCTCACACCTATAATCCCAGCACTTTGGGAGGCCTAAGCAGTCGGATTGCTTGAACTCAGGAGCTCAAGACCAGTGTGGGCAACAGCGAAAACCCGTCTCTACAAAAAATACAAAAATTAGCCAGATGTGGTGGCTCGTGCCTGTGGTTTCAACTACTTGGCTGAGGTGGGAGGATCGCTTGGGCCCAGTTCAAGGCTGCAGTGAGCTATGATTGTGCCACTGCACTCCAGCCTGGGCAACAGAGTGAGGCCTTGTCTCTAAAACAAACAAACAAACAAACAAAAATTAAATGGCTCAATGGCATAGAAGAAAATTTTTTTATGAAGCAAGTATAATATTGATGTTAAACTATGACAATGCACAAATATAAAAATTGTAGATGAATTTACTTATTATACTGACACAAAAATCCTAAATAAAACATTGCAAACAGATTCTAGCACAGATTAAAAAACACCCATTAAGATCAAGGGGTTTTTTTTGTTTTTTTTTTCTAGAAAACCCTTTGGAAGTTCATGATATTTTGAATTTCAATGGATATTTCCTGGGAATAATGAGTTCAAATGAACGAATATGTGGAACAAAGCATCACCAACATTTATTTTTTCAGGATGAGGTGATGGACAAAACCATCACAGGGAAATTGAGGCAAATAGTACATGTAAAACAATACTTCGGGTGAGTCCACCTATCCCAAAGTCGTATCAAAGAAGTGGCTGCAGATTGGAGCCCAAAGCCTTTGGTTCCTCAGTTTCCAAATGGATTCTCACTAGGTGGGATCATGAGTTTGCTTTGGACACCCCAAATTCTAACTATTTCTTTTGTTTCTTACATCCTTTCCCTCTTCCCCAGCCCCTTCCCCTCATGTTACACCTCTTGCTGGTTTGAGACGTCAATCACCACTGAGAAAGAATTAAACCAGTATTTTGAGCTGGCAAAATTCTTAGCCTAGTACAATTCCTTCAATTAAACTGTAGCTCAACAATGTGTTCTCTAAAAGTATGATTTAATATTCTACCTAGAAACTCAGAATATTTTTCATAACTCCTCCAGGGCAGTGTGGATTATGTTGATGTGTTAGGAGGAAGTAGAAGGAAGAAAATGAATTGAGATGTACGTTTTACTTCCATGTCAAAGTCACCAAAATAGCAGTTGAAGGGATATTTGTGTCAGGCAATAGGGAGAATAATAATTTTATGCCACCCTCAAAAAACAACCACACATACACCCAAATTCTCTCACTCCTCAGAGAAAGGGGAAGGAAAGAAAAGAGAGAAGCAAAATATGAGCTTGAGTGAAAAATCACAGAGGAGCCTGTAGCTATTTAGGGAGGGCTGCTGGCTGAAGTCAGGCAGGAAAAAAAGATCAAAACACCCTGCCCTATTTTTCAGGCTCGTTCAAGTAGAAGACAAAAACATAAATACAGGAGAAAGGAAGAAAACCACATCTTTTTCCTCTTGTCTCCCCAGAACTGAACAGTGTCTCTGATAAGCCCAGGCCCTTCTATCGTAGACACTGACACTATGCACAGAAAATGACTCAAAAACGCTTCTAATGGGGGTGAATCTGATGCTTCAGTTTATTTAAGATGTACCAGAGGCCATCTAAGGAGATCCATAGCTTGCTAACTGAAGCTTATTGCTTTCTCTTCTTAGTTCCCATGCCAGGCTCTATGCCATTCCTTGCTTGTCATGTGAGATCACTGATTTCCTTTGGTTAGGTAGGATATGATTTCCTTACAGAGATCTGTCCTGACACCAAACAGCTATGATGAAATTCCTTGGTTATTTTCCCTTTTTGTGTACCTTATCATTACCGGAATGCTAAAGCTGTAGGAATAAAGTTTCCCTGGCTTCCCAAGAAATACAGTGTGACAGAAAAAGTATAGCCTAGGGACTTACTAGTTATGTGAACTTTGGTTCATTCCATCCTTACCTCATCTGTAAAAGGGAGATCATGATAGTATCTACTGCAAAGGGTTTTGTGTGATGATTCTCTCTCTTTCTCTCTCTCTCATACACACACACGCACACATTTATATAATGCTTAGAAAATGAACTCATAATAAGCAATTGACAAACATTAGCTATTATTATGTAGGCAAGTCAGATTTTAGAGTTTGTGAGCCTTAGACACATTTACAGAGAAGAAAGAGCAGCCCTCCTAACTTTCTGGTCCAGCGCCATATCCTCCACTTCCTCCCCATCCCCACATCCCTTGCCATTTATCAACCCCCTCTCTCCTCTAAATCTAAATACAGGCCCCCGTTTGATCCATATTGTCTAGGCCCTTCCTCTCCTCTCCACATGGCCCTTCCTTCAGCTCTGAGGGAAGCTGCAGAAGCCAGCCATGGTGCTGTCTACAAAGAAGGGGACACACGCCTCTTCCACCCGCTCATGCTGTTACTGCATCTGATCATCTCCGTGCCGTGTCCTTGTTCACTTAGCCTGTGTTGAGTGTTTGTCTCCATTTCCAAATGCAATAAAACATCTGGGAAAGACTAAGGTAGGTGTGGGCAGGAAGAAGGGAGGAAGTTAGACCCAGTGGCTTGAGTGCCCTCTGATGCCTCCTTATCCTCGGCTCCACACAAGCCCTCGCCAGTGTGAGCTCCACAGCCATCCACCTGGAGGAGGAGTACTCAAAACCAGGGTCAAATGCCTTGTACTCGGGGGTCTACCAGTAAGCCTGTGGCCAGCCTTCCACTTCATGAATCGTCACATTTACATGAGAGATGTGGAGGGAGAGGGGTCAGCCTCCTAGCTCCTGTCCTGTAGCAGTTAAGTCAAGTCAGGCCAGGCTGTGGTAACCAAGCCAGTACCTTCTTTAAAGAACAGTTGTTTCTCATTCATACAGAGTGTGTTGTAGGTGTGAGTGATTCCCTGGGGCAGCTGCTCTTCATGGTGACTCAGCTAATTAGACTGCTTTTCTACTGGGATTGTGCCATCTCAACACAAGGCTGTCTTGGTTGACTTGGTAGGGGAGGAGGAGAAGAGTCATGCACGAGGAGTTAAATTCTTTGACCAGGAACCTTTTGTTCACTTTCCATTGGTGAGAACGAGTCACACAGCTCCAGGAGAGTAGGAAGTCTAGTTTCTCGTTTTCCATGGGCCTAGGAATTAGAGGATGAACACTAGCGATGTCTTCCACGTCTTGCTCTCTTTTTCTTTACCTGTTATAATCTCCCATGGAGAAGAAATTATTTTTCTGATTGGTCTGATCCAGGCCTCTAACCAAGGGCATTTACTAAGGGTCATAGAACAGTAAAAGGTTGCACAATTGCATCTCACCTCTCTTTTCTGAATCCTGCTTAATTAAAACTTTAAAAACTCACTTACAGACCACTTCTTGCTCTTCTTAGTTATCAAATATATTTTCTTCCAACTCCTTTTTGACAGATCTTGCCTTGTTCTCAGCTGACTCCCTTGCAACCATCTAAATGGAACTTCCTCATTCCCCTTTATCCCCTGCTAATCGTCCTGTCTTTATTCTTTTATCTGAAGAAGTGTACCCTTCTTCCCCCAAGCCTTATGCTCTCTGTCTTAGTCCATTTGTGTTAGTGTAACAAGATACACGAGATAGGGTAATTTATGAAGAACAGAAATTTATTTCTCACAGTTCTGGAAGCTAGAAGTTCAAGGTCATGGCCCTGGAAGATTTGATGCCTTGGCCATCGACTTGAAAAAAGTCACTGAAGTGAACTTGTGGTTACCATGATACCCTGGGTTCATTCTTAACATGCACAGTATAGGCAAATCAGGGGCACATTTCATGCTGAAAGATGATGTGAAATGATGAGTAAACATTGCCCTTTAAATAATAATAACATAGATGGTGAATTACAATTTGCACTTTTGGTTTTATTTGCTTAAAGATAGTGTTTTACTGTCTAGGTTTTACTGAAAGAATACTTAACTAAACACTTGAGTCAAATCATTCCAGTGTAACAGTCCTCACAAGGAGGAAGGCAGAAGGGCAAAAGTGCCAAGCTATTGCCTCCAGCCCTTCTATTTTTATTGATTGACTGATTGATTGATTGAGACAGGGCCTCGTTCTGTTACCCATGCTGGAGTACAGTGGTGCATTCATGGTTCACTGCAACTTTGAACTTCTGGGCTCAAGTAGTCTTCCCACCTCAGCCTCCAAAGTAACTAAGACCACAGGTGCATGCCACCATGTTTATTTCTTTAATTTTTTAAATTTTATTTGGACATGGGGGTCTCACTATGTTTTCCAGGCAGGTCTCTAACTCCTAGCCTCAAGCAATCTTCCTCCTCAGCCTCCCAAAGTGCTGGGATTACAGGCATGAGCCATCATCCCTGCTCTCTCTAGCCCTTTTTAAAGTCTCTAATCCCATTCAGGAGGCCTCTGCATTCATGACTTAATCACCTCCTAAAGGGCCCACCTTTTGATACTATCACATTGGTGATTAAATTGCAACACTTGAATTTTGAGTGACATTCAGACCACAGCATTTTGGAGAAAATGTCCCCTTTCTTCTCTTTTTTCTCTTCAGTTTCTCCTTTCTACAGATACCTTGCACTTCACTTGCAACCTTGTTGAAGTCTCTCCTGTCTTAAAAGTTTCTTTTCCCAAAACACCAGAACTCATTCCTTCTGTCTAACTGTAACTTTGTACTTGTTACCAACCTCTACCCATTTCTACCCCTGACTCCCCAGCCTCTGGTAACTCCTAACGTACTCTTTACTTCGATGAGGTCAACTTTTTTAGATTCCACATATGAGTGAAATCACGTAATATAGTCCTTCTGTTCTTGGCTTATTTCACTTAACATAGAGCCCTCCAGGTTCACCCATGTTGTTGAAAATGACAGGATTTCATGCTTTTTTATGGCGGAATAGTATTCCATCATGTATATATATCACATACTAATTACCCTGATTTGATCAATACACAATGTATAGGTGTGTTGGAACATCATGCTGTACCCCATAAATATGTACAATTATTACGTGTCAATTTAAAAAACCCAAGAAAAGTATTTTTTCTTAGTGTTGTTTTTTTCTAAAGTGTATCCCATTTTTTCCTTTGTTTTCACTTTCAAAATTCTTGAAAGACTGTTTTAATCTGCGGCCTTTGTTTTCTTGTTTCCAATTCATTCTTTTGAAATATGGCTTCTACCTTTAACACTCTGCTGTCCTCTTGAAGGTTATTGGTGCCCTACTAACCATAAAACACAATAATGCTCTCTTAGATTGTATCCTGGTGAGCCTTTTTGCAAAATTTTATTCTTTGAGAATTCTCTTTCCATGTTTTCTTTTCTTTTCTTTTTTTGTGGTCATTTTGGCTTATAGGAAATCGTACTCTCCAAATGTTCTCTATGTCTTCTATTTCTTCTCTGATAATCCCTTTACTAAATCTTCTTGAGGCATATGCTTCAGAATGCTTAATTTACATACTCTTAATTCCTTCTTAATTTACACACTGCCTGTCGGCAATGTCAACACCCAATAAGAAGGGAGACCTATTGGTCAGAACAGGCCAGGGAATAGAAGAATACATAATAAACAGTCTGCCTAGTTCTTCTAGGGCCCCATAATATGTCAAACATATATTTTTACTTCTTCTCCCAGCCCATTTTTAGTATACCTAAATTACTGTCAGTGATTCTGCAGGCAAACAATGGTTGAGTTGTATGACACAACTTTGTGAAAGTATCCTACCCAGTACCTGATGATGCAAAACTCTTCTATCTTGATTGGTTGTCAATCTGAGGAGTTTCCAATCCTGGGGAAGCCAGAAAAACAGCGATTTATACTCTTAATGGGTACTTTCTGACTGAATTTTATGAGCTCATTCTGAAGAGGCTGACGATTTTACTATCTCATTTTTTTCCTTTCTCCAGAATGGGTTCTGGGTGGGTCCCCTGGGTGGTGGCTCTGCTAGTGAATCTGACCCGACTGGATTCCTCCATGACTCAAGGCACAGACTCTCCAGGTAAGAACAGAGCAATTGTTTTTTTCCAGTGTGTATGCAAGAATTGGCATGGGGGAGTGATGCCTTTCTTTGTAAGTCCAGGCCACAGACCAGACTGGAAGTGGCTTTTGGTTTCAAAGAACAGTGTTCTTCCCTTTGGCAGAAAGGTACGCCTTGCCTCTTTACATGGGATGGACTTCATATACCAGAGCCACCTATTCAAGGGGTAGGGAGGCAGGAAGAGGGAAACATTGTGTCTTGTTTAGGATCCTTATTGTGTGTATCAACCTCAGTCAGTGCCTGGGCGTGTTGAAGGCCTTGGCTTGGGTTCGAGCCTGCTGGGAGAAACAACCTGCAGTAGGCTGGGTCACAGAGGCAATCTGTGATTTTTTGGTCAGGACACGGAAACAAATCTCAGTTGGGGTATATGTGGACAAATGAAACTGGAAACAAAGGTTGCTCCTTCTGTCATTTATTAAGCCACTATTATATTGTCAGAATTGTACTAAACAGTTTTGAGAAGTAAGAGAAGTTGAATAGAATACATTGTCCTTGTCCTCCGGCTACCAGGTACAAGTTACTTGTCACTGTTATTTTTCTAGCACAGGTGACAGAATATGCAGCCATGAAGCAATGTGAGATGAAAGCACATATTAATGAGCAGAAACAGGATGTAATGTGCTAAGAACAGAATCCCCTTTGCATGTTAGTTTCATTAAATACAAAAGAGGAACAAACCTGGCCAGGAGAGATCATTATTCTCAGAGAATAGAAACCGCCCTGAGTTTATAATGTCCATTAAACAATACAACTGAAAAAAAAATCAGCACAGATGTTAAATGATGATGAAAAATTCAGATTTCCCCCCTGGTTTAGACTACTAGAGGAAATAGAGAAGAGTATACATGCTGAGAAATTACAGGCTGGAACTTCATCTGAAATTAGCTACTGAGTGAGGGATAAGTGGGGTTCACCCAGGAAGGTCATTCTTATGGCTCAGTTCAGAGTTGGAGGAGGCTTCTGAACTTAGAAAGGAAAGTAAATTACAACCCAACATTAATAGCAATTATCTTTCAAGTCTTGACTTAGATGCAATGTCTTCAGGACGTCCTTCCTGACTTACCTACATTATTAACTCCATTTGAATTTCCTTTTTATTGTAGTTGTTGTTCTTAAGTGCATAGGATTGGTTTAATTTTACCCAATGAGTTCACAGCACATTGTAATTATTGGCAGTAGTGCAAGACTCTCTCGTCTCTTCTCTTGCCTCCGTTCTCATTCTCTCCCCTCCCTAGAGAATCCATTCTAAACGTGTCTGGTAAGTCTCTAAGTATGAGAGTGGCTTTTAGAAATATGTAGCATTATTGCTCTTTATGTGTTTTTAAAATTTAATAAATGTCATTCTCTGTTGAATCCCATTCTGTTTCTTTTCTCACTTGACACTGTGCTTTTTGAGCATACTGAGGTCAAAGGCCTCCTCTTAGATCCATGTGGTCTGACGTAATTTACCAGGCATGGGTTTTCCCAGAGGAGGGGGCTGGTTCATGGTTTTGGTTTTGGTTTTCCAGAAGACTTTGTGATTCAGGCAAAGGCTGACTGTTACTTCACCAACGGGACAGAAAAGGTGCAGTTTGTGGTCAGATTCATCTTTAACTTGGAGGAGTATGTACGTTTCGACAGTGATGTGGGGATGTTTGTGGCATTGACCAAGCTGGGGCAGCCAGATGCTGAGCAGTGGAACAGCCGGCTGGATCTCTTGGAGAGGAGCAGACAGGCCGTGGATGGGGTCTGTAGACACAACTACAGGCTGGGCGCACCCTTCACTGTGGGGAGAAAAGGTGAGCTGGAAGCTGAGGTCTGGCGGGGCTCAGGAATGTCCCCCATGTGAACCTGGCCATGGCTCTTCTTTCTTACAAGCAATTTTCTGCTTTAGGATAAATGGTTGTCTGTGTAGATGTTCTGGCCCCAGCTGTGATATATTATCCTCACAAGTCAGCCACTGTGATCTTGGTCTCAGACCCCCAAGGTTCTCAGGGACTTCGAGGGCTATTGTGCCCTCAAAGAGAAGCAGTAATTGTGGGAGTACCTCAGAAAGTCTAAATCCTCCTGACAGGCATTGACATACCCTGTTACTGATCTTGGGGGCTGAGACTTGCCTATACTTTGTGTTCACTTGGGTGATCTGGGAAAGAGATTAGACATAGTGATAGTCCCTAAAGAATCTCCTGTCCCAGCTTGGTGGTTTTCTTTCACGGTGTCTCATTTTTCCTCCCTTCCTAGTGCAACCAGAGGTGACAGTGTACCCAGAGAGGACCCCACTCCTGCACCAGCATAATCTGCTGCACTGCTCTGTGACAGGCTTCTATCCAGGGGATATCAAGATCAAGTGGTTCCTGAATGGGCAGGAGGAGAGAGCTGGGGTCATGTCCACTGGCCCTATCAGGAATGGAGACTGGACCTTTCAGACTGTGGTGATGCTAGAAATGACTCCTGAACTTGGACATGTCTACACCTGCCTTGTCGATCACTCCAGCCTGCTGAGCCCTGTTTCTGTGGAGTGGAGTGAGAATTAGTTTCTAGTACTCTCTGGGCCTGACTCAGGACTATACTGACTCAATACAGAGCCTGTGTCACTTCTGCGTTTATCTTGGTCACAACATGAATTATTCTTTCCCTTGATCTGGGACAGTCACAGAAACCAGAGTCCTTGGGTTAGGGTGGGAGAAAACATGGCAGATATCTATCCTCATATCTTCCAAGAAATGAGGAGATCTAATCACCTCATTATGTGCTTCCAACCCTATGAACTGGTGTCCTCTAATTCTTTGGTCTTAGTATTTAGGAGGCATTCTTATGGGCTGTGAGAATCTGTAACCGATGGGGGGTAACTCCATGGGTGCCAACTTTGGTTTCGAAGAACCTTTTCTAAATTTATTTATTTTTCTCTAGCTAGCATTGGATTTGGTGTCTAGTACAGATTCTGGGATTCCAAGAAAGTGCTTTAAATATTGGGATATTTTTACTAATTTAAAGACCTGTTTCCCATAGGAGCTCAGTCTGAATATTCTTGGAGAAAGATGCTGAGTGGCATTGCAGCCTTCCTACTTGGGCTAATCTTCCTTCTGGTGGGAATCGTCATCCAGCTAAGGGCTCAGAAAGGTAATGAGCCTGTGAGGAGTGCCCTGCCACCTGTCCCAGACCTTCCCCACTCCCACCTTCCCTAACGTCAATGATCTGAGGCAAGGAAAGCTGATTGTGCCTCTCAGGGATCACCGGGATAATTTTTTTCTGAAGCTAGAAATGGGATAAGCAGAGAGAGTGCTGACCTTGCCAGCCATTTGTTCTTCCCTCGGGATAATCATATTGGGTCCTAATTGGGGCAATCCATTCTTTTCTCGATTTCTTTCCAGGATATGTGAGGACGCAGATGTCTGGTAATGAGGTAATGTCTCTTTTTCCTTGTCTTTGAGTGGCAGATCATTCTCCCGGTTCTTTGGCCAGAGGGAGATGACATGGGGGTAGGGAGGAGTAAGGTTGCTGCTGTCTGGATGGGACTGTCCCCTGAGTCTCTGGAACGGCTGTGGGGGGTGGTGAGGCTGCCTCCTGAGACCTTCATCACTGTGCCTCCAGGTCTCAAGAGCTGTTCTGCTCCCTCAGTCATGCTAAGGTCCTCACTGAAGCTTCTCTCTCTGGAGCCTGAAGTAGTGATGAGTAGTCTGGGCCCTGGGTGAGGTAAAGGACATTCATGAGGTCAATGTTCTGGGAATAACTCTCTTCCCTGATCCTTGGAGGAGCCCGAACTGATTCTGGAGCTCTGTGTTCTGAGATCATGCATCTCCCACCCATCTGCCCTTCTCCCTTCTACGTGTACATCATTAATCCCCATTGCCAAGGGCATTGTCCAGAAACTCCCCTGAGACCTTACTCCTTCCAGTCCCAAATCATTTACTTTTCTGTGGTCCAGCCCTACTCCTATAAGTCATGATCTCCAAAGCTTTCTGTCTTCCAACTGCAGTCTCCACAGTCTTCAGAAGACAAATGCTCAGGTAGTCACTGTTTCCTTTTCACTGTTTTTAAAAACCTTTTATTGTCAAATAAAATGGAGATACAAAAAATGTACATTTTAGTGAATTATTTAAGAAAAACCCCTGTAATCAAGTCAAGGAACAGGACTTTGCCAGCTCCAGCAGAAGTCTCTGTACGTCAGGCCAATCAAAGCCTCTCCTTCCCCTCGAAAGTGACCATATCCTGATTTTATTGTAACCTCTTTCATGTCTTTGTAGTCTAGTCCCCCAGGTATGTGTTCCTGGACGCCACAGCTTAGTTGTCTTTTACGTCTCTTATACTTCACTGGTTTCTCCCCCATCAGCCTTTTTTTCCCCCTTATGATTAATCTGTTGAAAAGCTCAATCCATTTGACCTGTAGAGTTTCCCACACTCTGGATTTTGCTGGCTGCATACACATGGTGCAGTGTAACACATCCTCTGCCTTCTGTGCCTCCTGCAAATTGGCATCTGGATGCAGAGGCTGGATCAGACTCTGGTTCAATCTTTTCCTTTGGAAAATCTATACGTGGTGTTGTGGCCTTTCACCATGAGAGACATAATTTCCAGCTGTTTCTTTTTGTGATGTTAGCAACCATTGATACTAATTGCTTAGGTTTGTTAATTTATTGGGGATTGCTAAATGGTGGTATTCTGTCATTTTTTCTTCATTTATATGCTTTATTAATGCTACAAAGAGACAGTTCCCTTCATTTACTAGTGAAGAGACACTTCCCTCCACTTACTAGTGGGCTACTTAGTGGTACAGTGGAAAGGCAGGATCAGTGTTTGACCCCCGTCTCTACTAAAAACACAAAAAATTAGCCTTGCGTGGTGGCGTGCGCCTGTAGTCCCAGCTACTCCGGAGGCTGAGGCAGGAGAAGCGCTTGAACCTGGGAGGCGGAGGTTACAGTGAGCCAAGATTGTGCCACTGCACTGCGGCCTGGTGACAGAGCAATACTCCATCTTAAAAAAAAAAATCAGTCTTCTCTATATTACTTCTGCATCTCCTTTCTTTTACACCAAGAACTCTGGTTTTCAAGGACACAGGGACAGACACAATTAGAATGTCCATACTTATTTGCTTTTCCTGAGTTAACATAGACAGCAGTCTAAGGATAATAACACTAATACTACAACCACCAAAATGGCTACTGAAAACGGTTGAAATTCTTTTTACCTACATTCTCCCTATTACCTGTGTTCTCCCTTTTTACCTATGTTCTCCCCCGCTTTCTAGTTGAACTATGTCTATATTAGTTGATCCTGTACCATTGCATAGACTACTTGCTCCCTTGTTAGTCTTAGTTCTGTGAGTAGAGATATGTTTAATGCTCACCATCATTCCTTATGTTGATATCCCTGTCATGTGGTGGTTTTCAAGGTGTGGTCCATGGATCCCTGGGGGTCCCTGGGACCCTTCAAGGGGCCTATGAAGTCAAGCTATTTTTGTACTAATACTAAGATGTTATTTGCCTTTTTCACTGTATTATTTACATAGTGGTACAGAAATCTATGGTGGTCACGTGAAACTGTTAGTGCCTGAGCACAAATCAAGGTGGTGACACCAAGCTGTACAGGTAGGTCATGTTCTTCACTGCCATAAGCTTACAGTAAAAAAAAAAAAAAAAAAAAGCAAAAGCCAGTGACCTTGATGAAGCAATAAAATCATTAGTTTACTAAATTTTAAACCTCAAGCACACATCTGTTTAATAGTCAGTGTAAGAACATAGGCAGCATTTCTGGTGCATACTGATGGAAAGGCAGTTGTCCTGTGGAAAAGCCATTATGTAATTGCATGAGTTGTGAGTGAAGTTAAACATTTTTTTTTAGTGGGTCATCATTTTCCTTGAAAGAATGACTGAAAGGCACACTGTGATTATTCAGACTTGGGTATTTGGTAGAAATTTTCTCAAAAATAAACAAAATGAGCCTATCCCATCAAAGAAAATAATATTGACAGTGGAAATTGGAATTTCAAGAGAAAATTAAACTTTTGGAAAACTTACATGTGCCGCAGCTTCTCACTACTTAAAGATGTTTCTGATGAGATTGGTGGTGATATTAACAAATATGGTTTAAAAAATATTGTTTAATAAAATATGTCAACATTTTAAAAATCTGCGTAAACCCATGAATCAATAATTTACAAATAATCAATGCATGATATTGCAAAGTCATGCATAGAGGAAAAGATCCATTTAAAGATAGACTAGTGAATTTTAACACAACAGAAGATGAAAAGTTAATTTATAAGGTTTCAGATTCCACACTGCAACTAACCTTTAAGAATCTGCCATTTCTTGAGTTTTGGTGTCTTATCAAGGAAGAACAGTTACAATAGCTGAAATGGTTATTGAAACTTTCCTTCTTTTCCCAACTGTGTATAAGAGTGAGGCCAGATTTTCCTCTTGTACTTTAGCCAAAACAACATATTGTTACAGCTTGAATGTAGAAGAATATATAACCAAGCTAGCTTTATTAAGCCAGACATTAAAGAGATTTTTACAAATGTAAAATAATTCCTTTTTTTTCACTATTTTTTTGTGCTGGAGAAGACAGCTATTTTCCATAAAAGTATGTTGTTTATGTTAACATGTAATGGGTTTGTTATTGTTATTTAATAACAAATAAGTTAATATAAATGTCACTTTACATAACCCATGTAAACTAAAGCTTCTTGGTGTTCTCAACAATTTTACGAATAAAAAGGGATCCTGATACCAAAAGAATTATAAGCTACTGATGTAGTCATCATGATTGTTTGAAACTATTTCTCCTAGGTGCCTCAGGAAGACTTAGGAAAGTGTCTTAGTTTGTATGAGCTGCTATAACCAACTACCAGAGACTGGATGGCTTAAAAACAGCAGAAATGTATTTTTCACAGTTCTGGAGGCTGGAGGTCTGAGATCAGTGTGTCAGCCTGGTAGGGATCTGGTGAAGGCCTGCTGGCAGCATCTTCTCAGTAAGACCTCATGTGGCAGAAGGAAAGGGAGCTATCTGGAATCTCCCTTATAAGGGCCCTAATGCCATTCATAAGGGCTGCACCCTCATGACCTAATCACCTTCCAAAGGCGTCACCTCCTGGTACTGTCACCTTGGGCGTTACGATTTCATCATATGAATTTTGGGACGGCATATTCAGTCCACACCAGGAAGTTCTTGCACTTCATAGTCGAAAGTCAGTTTTGTGGCTATAAAAATCTTGGTTCCATTTTCCGCTCTTGAGTATCTTAAAAAGTTACTACATTTTCACATAACTGTTATCAAAAAGTCTGATGATAATCTAATTATTAATAAGTCATTGCTACTTTTGCTGAGTATCCAGATGGTATTTTCTTTTTCTTTAGTATCCACAAGTTTTATTGGAATGTATCTTGGTTGGGGGGAGGGCAAGATCGCTGACTAGATGCAGCCAGGTGAAACAGTTCTCAACGAGGAACCCAGATGACTGGCGTGCTCCTAACAAATGTTCAGACAGAAGGCACCTAGAGTGGACAGAGGGAAGACACAGAAGCTGGACTGAAGTGGGAGAAAGCTGGGAGCCCTACATGGGGCTACAGCACATCCAGACTCATTCCTGTCCTCCAATGGCTCCAGGAAAATGGGTGAGTTGAACTGGCAAGGAACAACCCACTGTCACTATGACCTCTGCAACCATGGCAGGAGGAGACCCATTGACCACCATGGACACTTGAGTTGGCAGGAAAGAGCTGCTTAGAGAAGCCGTAGGGGCGGCAAGCCAGCAGGTGTGGAGCCTAGAGGATTCAGTGCAGGAGCATCTGCAGTGGAGCATGGCCAGGGATGGCCATTTCCCTAGGCTCAACTTACTCCCATAGGAGACATTAGCCCTAGGGAAACTGTTGGTCCCGAAATCTGTAGGGTGGTCTTGCCCATCAGATGAGTCTGGTTCTACCTGAGCAACCGTTGGTCTTCTGGCCTCTCCTGGGGCCCCGGCCTGGCCACATCTGCTTGCAAAGCAGCCTCAGGTGCCCTGTGGGCCTGCACCATAGCTTCTACACTGGCAGACCATGACTGACCAGTAAGTGGAGAGCTCCAACGAGGAGGCCCCTATGACCAGGCACCAGCCTCCATGCTCCCTCCCCACACTGCAGCTTCCTCTGGGCCCACAGCAACTCCCCACATCATTTTGCTGGTACATGTCTGCTGGGTGGGTTTTGTTTTCCTTGCCTCACCAGCATATAGGAATGTAATTCACCCCCCACCAATTCCCTCCTGACAGCTATTGCAGACAGAGCCTTGGTGGGCACAGAGCCAGCCAGCCCCACTCCCTCCATCATCCCACCCTGTGCTAACACTGTGCAGAGAACAGCTGATCCTCCCCCACCCTGAGTGACCACTCCTGCACAGAAAAGGCACGCAGACCTGCACCTGCCAATGCCTTGCCCCTAAGCCAACACCACTTCCTGTGTGACCACACACACAGTTGCCAGCAGGGGACCCCCTTCCTTTCCTGCAGTTGCATTGCCTCTGCCACTGTGGTGGATGCCTGCAGGGAGGTGGGCACCCCGGCACCTGCTAGTACTCTGCTGCAACTTCAACTACCACTGCTGCTGGTACACTCAAACAAGGACAGATCCTGCTGTCACTGTACTATGAAACACTTTGGCTGACACCACTCATTGGAGTGTAGTGACCAGTGGTCTGGGAGCACTTCGGACTGCACCACTCCTGCCACCTCCCCCACCCCCCGCCCATCACAGCGGATTCCTAATTCTGAGGAAACAAAGTCAGGGCCCCATACAAGTCCCAAAGAATTACAGCATGCAGTCCAGGAGTTGGGAGTGGAATACTGGCCAAATAAAATTGTCCAGAAATGAAGTCAGTTGGCTGAATCCACCTTATACCACAATCAAACCCTCAAAGTCATCAAATAGGATAAATAGGATAAATAAAAAAGGTTGGATGATCTTTGCTGTCCAAAGGTCAGCAGTCTCAAAGATTAAAGGAAAATAAGCCCACAAAGATGAGAAAGAATCAGGCAAGAACCTTGACAACTCAAAAAGCCAGAGTGTCTTCTGTTCTCCAAACGACCACATCACCTCTCGAGCAAGGATTCTGAATTGGGCTGAGATGGCTGAAATGACAGATATGTAATTCAGAATAAGGATAGAAATGAAGATCATTGAGCTACAGAAGTACACTGAAACCCAATCCAAGGTAGCTAAAAATTATGATAAAACAATGCAGGAGCTGATAGATAAAATAGCCAGTATAGATAAGGACATAACCAATTTCATAGAGCTGAAAAACATACTATAAGAATTTCATAATGCAATCACAACTATTAATAGCAGAACTGACCCAGTGGAAAAAAGAATCTCCACACTTCAAGACTGGCTTTCTGAAATAAGATAGTCAGACAAGAATAGAGAAAAAAGAATGAAAAGAGAGGAACAAAACTTCTGAAAAATATGAGATTATGTAAACAGACCAAATCTATGACTCATTGGTGTTCCTGAGAGAGATGGGGAGAATGAAACCAACTTGGAAAACATATTTCAGGGTATCATCCATGAGAATCTCCCCAACCTAGCTGGAGAGGCCAACATTAAAATACAGGAAATGCAGAGAACCCCAGTAAGATACTTCACAAGAAGATCATTCCAAAGGCACATAATTATCAGATTCTCCAAGGTTGAAATCAAAGAAAAACAGTTGGCAGCTAGATAGAAAGGCCAGGTCACCTACAATGAAAAGTCCATCAGACTAACAGTGGACCTGTCAGAAGAATCTCTACAAGCCAGAAGAGACTGGGGGCCAACATTTATTATTCTTAAAGAAAATAATTTCAACCCAGAATTTCATATCTGGCCAAACTAATCTTCAAAAGTGAAGGAGAAATAAGAACCTTTTCAGAGAAGGAAATGCTGAGGGAATTTCATTACCACTAGACTTGTCTTACAAGAGCTCCTGAAGGAAGCACTAAATATGGAAAGGAAAGACTTACTAGCCACTACAAAAACACACTGAAGTACACAGACCAGTGACACTATAAAGCAACCACATAAACAAGTCTGCAAAATAACCAGCTAACATCATGATGACAGGATGAAATCCACACATATCAATACTAATCTTAAATGTAAATGGGCTAGTGCCCCAATTAAAAGGCACAGAGTGGTAATCTGGATAAAGAACCAAGGCCTATTAGTATGCTGTCTTCAAAAGACTCATCTCACATGCAGTGACACACATAGGATCAAAATAAACAGATGGAGAAAAATCTACCAAGCAAATGGAAAACAGAAAAAAGCAGGGGTTGTAATACTAGTTTCAGACAAAACAGACTTTAAACCAACAAAGATCAAAAAAGATGAAGAAGAGCATTACATAATGGTAAATGGTTCAATTCAACAAAAGATCTAAGTATTCTAAAAATATATACCTCCAAAAGAGGAGCACCCAGATTCATAAAGCAAGTTATTAACGACCTTCAAAGAGACTTAGACTCCCACACAATGATAGTGGGAGACTTTGACACCCCATTGACAATGTTAGACAGATCATCAAGACAGAAAATTAACAAAGATACCCAGGACCTGAACTCAGTTCTGGATCAAATGAACCTGATAGACATCTTATAGAACTTTCCACCCCAAAAAGACAGAATATACATTTTTCTCATTGTCACATGGCACATACTCTAAAATCGATCACATAATTAGAAGGAAAACACTCCTCAGCAAATGCAAAAGAACTGATCATAAGAAAAAATCTCTTGGACCACAGCACAATCAAATTAGAAACCAAGACAAAAAAGTTCACTCAAAACCGTACAATTACATGGAAATTAAATAACCTGCTCCTGAATGACTTTTGGGAAAATAATGAAATTCAGGCAGAAATCAAGAAACTCTTTGACATGAGTGAGAACAAAGATACAACACACTAGAAGCTCTGGGACACAACTAAAGCAGTGTTAAGAAGGAAATTTATAGCACTAAATGCCCACATCAAAAAGTTAGAAATATCTCAATTTAACAACCTAACATAATAACTAAAAGAACTAGAGTATCAAGAGCCAACGAATCTCAAGGCTAGCAGAAGACAAGAAATAACCAAAATCCAGAACTGAATGGAAGGAGATTGAGACACAAAAATGATTCAAAAGATCAATGAATCCAGGAGCTGGTTTTATGAAATAATTAATAAAATAGATGGACTTCTAGCTAGACTAATAAAGAAGAAAAGAGAGAAGATTCAAATAAACACAATTAGGAATGACAAAGGAGGTATTACCACTGACCCCACAGAAATACAGACAACCATCAGAGAATATTATGAATACTTCTATGACATAAAGTAGAAAATCTAGAAGAAATGGATAAATTCCTGGGCACATACACCCCCTAAGACTGAACTAGGAAGAAATTGAATCTATGAACAGACTAATAATGAGCTCTGAAATTGAGTCAGTAGTAAATAGCCTACCAAAAAAAACAAAACAAAACAAAACAAAACCCAGGACCAAATGGATTCACAGCTGAATTCTATCAGGTGTACAAAGAAGAAATGGTACAATTCCTGCTGAAACTATTTCAAAAAATTGAGGAGAAGAGCCTCCTACCTAACTCATTCTATGAAGCTAGCATCATCTAAATACCAAAACCTGGCAGAGACACAACAAAAGAAGAAAACTTCAGGCCAATATCCTTGATAAACATTGATGCAAAAAATCCTCAACAAAATACCAGCAAACCGAATCCAGCAGCACATCCAAAAGCCAATCTACCATGATCAAGTAGGCTTTATCCCTGGGATATGAGGTTTGTTCAACATATAAAAATCAGTAAATGTGATTCATCACATAAACAGAACTAAAGACAAAACCCACATGATTATCTCAATAGATGCAGAAAAGTCTTCTGATAAAATTCAACACTCCTTCATGTTAAAAACTCTTGATAAACTAGCTATTGAAGGAACATACGTCAAAATAGTAAGAGCCATCTATGACAAACCCGCAGCCAACATCATACTGAATGGGCAAAAGCTGGAAGCATTCCCCTTGAAAACTGGCAGAAGACAAGAATGCCCCCTCTCATTACTCCTATTCAACATAGTACTGGAAGTCCTTGCCAGGGCAATCAGGCAAGAGAAAAGAATAAAGAGAAGCCAAATAGGAAAAGAGGAAGTCAAAGTATTCCTGTTTGCAGATGACATGATCATCTATCTAGAAAACCCTATCGTCTCAGCCCAAAAACTTCTTAAGTTGATAAACAACTTCAGCAAGGTCTCAGGATACAAAATCAATGTGCAAAAATTACTAATATTTCTATACACCAACAACAGTCAAGCCTAGAGCAAAATCAGGAATGCAGTCCTATTCACAATTGCCACAAACAGAATAAAATACCTAGGAATACAGCTAACCAGGGAGGTGAAAGATCTCCACAAGAAGAACTAAAAAGCACTGCTCAATGAAATCAGAAATGACACAAACAAATGGAAAAACATTGCATGCTCATGGATAGGAAGAAACAATATCATCAAAATGGCCATACTGCCCAAAGCAATTTATAATTCAATGTTATTCCTATTAAACTACAATTGAGATGCTTCACAGAACTAGTAAAAACTATTTTAAAATGCATATGGAACCAAAAAGGATACATAGATACAAAATAAGGACATGAAAACATGTGCAATGTCATTAGCCATTAGAGAATTACAAATTAAAACCACAATAAGATATTACTATATACCTATCATGATGGCTAAAAATAAAAAGTAGGCACAATACCAAATCCTGGTGAGGATGCAGAGAAAATAGATCACTCACATTTGGCTGCTGGGAATGTAATATAGTACAGCCACACTGGAAAATAGTTTGGCTTTTTCTTTAAAAGCAAAACATGCAACCACCATACAACCCAGCAATTGCACTCCTGAGCATTTATCCCAGAGAAATGAAGACTTATGTTCAGAGAAAAATCTGCACATGTATGCTCATAGCAGCTTTATTCAGACAAAAACTGGAAACAAACTGTGGTTTATCCATACTAGGAAATACTACTTAGCAATAAAAACGAACAAACTGGGTACAGGCACCACGACCTGGATGAATCACCAGGGAATTAGGCTGAGTGAAAAAAAAAATTGCAAAATGTTGTCTACTAAATGATTCCACTTATATAACACTCCTGGAATGCCAAAACTATAGAGATGGAAATTAATAATTGCTGTGTTAATGAAGAAGTGGAAATGGGAGGGAAGTGGCTGTGGCTACAAAAGGGCAAAATGAGGGATATTATAGTGATGAAAGTGTTCTTTATTTTAATTATATCAATGTCAATATCCAGACTGTGATAATTTACTGTAGTTTACAAGATGTTATCCTTGGGGGAAACTGGGTAAAATGTACATGAGATATCTCTGTAACATTTCTTAAAAGTGTCTGTGAATCAACAATGATATCAAAATAAAAAGTATAATTTAATACAGCATCTTAACATTTTCAACAAAACTAAGTGTCAAAGTATCCCCATAAACCTCAAATACAAATTGGTGAGGACAAACCACTAGTAGTTGCACGTTATTAATTTTTCCTGTTATGGATTATGCCTTTGGTGTCAAGTCTAAAAGCTTTTTGCTTAATCCTAGATCCTGAAGATTTTCTCCTGAGAGTTTTGTGACTTTATGTTTTACATATTAGACTTTGATCCATTTTTATTTCTTCCTTTGAAATCTGCACGCCTTTTTTTTTTCTCGCCCATTACATTATCTAGAACTTCCAACGCCATGTTGAATAAGCATGGCGAGAGTGGACATCATTGCTTTGTTCCCGATCTTTGGGGGAAAAATTTCAGTCTTTCACCGCTGTGTTAGCTGTAAGATTTTTTGCAGATGCTCTTTATCAAATTGAGGCAGTTCCTCTCTATTTGCATTTTCTGAGCATTTTATCATGAATGGCCATTGAATTACGTATTCTAATACCTCATATATGTACATCATTAACTTGGATTACGCTTCTTTAAATAGCTGCCTGTTCTACTGGTTGTCAAATGAGCTGTATCCTTTCTATTTAATGCCTACATGAAGTTTTTAAATATGGACTCTATGTCATATATTTAGTCCCTTTCAGGTTTCCAACATAAAGTGATACTATTTCAGCTACTTAAGCACTTATTTAGGATTTATGCCTCATGTAGTTTAGATTTATTATGAGTTTGCACTTACATTTGATTCCTTTTTATACTCCTAATGTCTTTTTTTCTTAAACAAGTGGCCTATATATTTGGACTCACAATATTTATACATCCTCTGTCACCAGGGGTACATGTCCTTATACCTTAAAGCACGTGCTTCTGGAGTCCTGTCGTGTTACATGTTTCCTCTAAAACAAACCCTCCATGTTATTTGAGAGCCAACCCCACTTTTCAAGTTATTTAGGCTGCTGTAACCTCCATTAATAAAGGATTCAAAAGTCATAATTGTGTGATTCTTTAGGAATTATCCAAAAAGGCAATCTGATTTATTTTCCAAATATCCTGGATCTGAAATAATCTATCAGAGTTTATTTCTATGCTTGGAAAGCTTCCTTGGATGTCAGCATTTGCGATTTTCTTACTTAGCTTATGTAGCTAAGTAAGAAATGAATTGCTTTTGTTGGTTTCTTAGTACATTCTGTCCATCAAGTACATTGAGTTGTTTAGAATTGTTTTGAGTCAACAGTGTAACAAGCATCCAAAATCTTGTATAGTCAATTTTGTTTGACTATTGTGCTAGAAGATCAATTTCTATTTCCTCTGTTGACAATATCCTGAGCATTTTGAAGTTACACAATTGCAGTGGTAATTTAGCGGAAGAGTGTTAACATTTTAACCTAAATAATTGATTTTGTATTAAACAAATTCTGATGTAGGAATGTATTTAGTATTAACTATATGGAATTCTCTATAAATCTCATAAACAGAGTAGTTGCTTTTTTGAAGGGGATTAAAAATTAAATATCAACATTTTCATTTTAGAAAATAAAAAATGTGGCTCACGCCTATAATCCCAGCACTTTGGGAGGCTGAGGTGAGCAGATCACGAGGTCAGGAGATCGAGACCATCCTGGCTAACACAGTGAAACCCTGTCTCTACTAAAAAATATGAAAAATTAGCTGGGCATGGTGGTAGGTGCCTGTAGTCCCAGCTACATGGGAGGCTGAGGCAGGAGAATGGTGTGAACCCAGGAGGTGGAGCCTGCAGTGAGCCAAGATCATGTCACTGCACTCCAGCCTGGGTGACAGAGCAAGACTCTGCCTAAAAAAAAAAAAAAAAGAAAAGAAAAAGAAAAGAAAAAATGTCTTTTTTCTTTTTAAAATTTTCCTATTTTAATATTTAAAATTATTTTATCTTTTTTTTAAAAAAGTTATACATGACATGGTTTAAAACATCAAATACAGATGGTTCCTGACTTATGATGGTTCCACTTAAGATTGTTCAGCTGTGATGGCGTGAAAGCAGTACACATTCTGGAAGAAATGTACTTCAAATTTGAAATGTCAGTCTTTCTCTGGGCTAGTGATATGTGGTATAACACTCTCACCTGACGCTGAGCAGCAGTAGTGAGCCACAGCTCCCAGTCAGCCACGCTAATGTAAGTGTTCTGAGCATGTTGAGGGTAGGCTGGGCTAAACTATGATGTTTGATAGGTTAGGGGTATTGAATGCATTTTCAACTTGCAGTTTATCAGGACACAAACCCACCTGAAGTCAAGGAGCATCTGTATTTCTACAGGGCTTGTTATGCAAAACAGCTGACCACACTGCCTCCCCATTCCTCTTTCCAGACAGAAATTCTAGTAGATAGTCCCATTTTACAAATGAGAAAGTGGAGGCTTAGGGAGGTTAATTAAGACACCCAAGTTCATATGGGTAGGAAGCGATGGAGCTATGATAAGAACTCAAATCCATGTGGTCCCCAAGCCTGAGGTTTGAGCTATATTGCTTCGTGATTACAGGATATATTAGTTTCCTATTGGTGCTGTAACAAATTACCACAATTTAGTGTTTTAAAACAACAAAAATTTATTGTTGGGCAGTTCTGGAAATTATAAGCCTAAAATGGGTCCTGTTAAATTAAATTAAATTTGGCTTAAAGCAGCCTCTGTACTTTGAATTCCTACGTAGTATACTGAAATCTAACTTAATGTGTAAGAAAATTGTACCCTAACTTAAGAGCATATTCTTGTAATAAATAGCTGAGTCTCAGGCAAACACAGCAGCCAAGCTTCAGGCAATCACAGGTTGCCAACTGATCAGACCATGATCAAATAAGGCAAACACTGAGCTGTAAACAAGCTGCTTCTGTATACCACTTCCTTTTTCTCTCTATAAATATTGCCTGCCCCTATTGCTCAGTGGCGCTCTCTGTACCTCTTCTGGTCCTGGATGCTGCCCAATTCATGAATTGTGCTTTGCTCAAATAAATCAAAATAAATTTAATTTGTTCAAAGTTTTTCTTTTAACACTTGTACAGGGCTAATCAAGGTGTTAGCTTGTCTGTGTTCCCCTTCTGAAGGCTTTAGCGGATAATCTGTTTTTTGCCTCTTCCAGCTTGCAGCGACCAGCTGCATTCCTCGGCTTGTAGCCCCCTTCCAGCAATCACTTTCCTCTGATTTTTGCTTCTAATATCACATCTCCTTCTTCTATTCTCTTGCCTCTTTCTTTCACTTAGAAGGACTCATGTAATTATATCAGGACCACTTGGCTAATCCAGAATAATCTCCCCATCTCAAGATCCTTAATCTAATCACTAATGCAAAGTCCCTTTTGCCATGTAAGGTAACAGATTCACAGGTTTCATAGATTCAGATCTTTCAGGGGTGGCAGTTGGGGGCATTATTCCATCTACCACACAGAGTAAAGTTTCATCTGGATGACCCACAGGCCCTACAAATACAAAATGTCTAATATGGAATGTTCTCTTAAACTGTCCTTTCTTAATGACTGGAATTACTAACCACTTGGTCTCCCAAGCATCTTCTGCTCTCGCCTTCTCCTCTCTCCCATATACAATGGATGACGACACATCATGTTGCATCTGCTCCCTCACATGTCTCTGACCCTCTCTCTAGATCCCTGATCCTACTTTAATTCGAGCCGCATCATGTCTGGTCTGTGTTACTCTAACAGTTACCCACGCTGCTTTCTCTGCTTTCAATTTTATGCTCCTCTAACCCACTCTTCCCACCAGAGTAGTCTTTCTAAAACGTGAAGCTGCCCATGACCCTTCCCTTACTATCAGTCTGCATACTGGTCCTACTGACTGCAGATCAAAGACCCAAGTCCTTAGCCTGGTGTGTGAGGCATCCATCCCTAGCCCTCTGCTTCATCTGTCACCCACCCATTTTACCAATTCCGAATGACTTTCACTTCCCTCGAAGCCTGTCCAAGTGTCCAAGCCGCTCATGCTTTGTTAGACTTGGAAGCCATTCTCCATATACCCTCGATCAGCTTGAATGTCATTTCCACTAGAAAATTTTCCTAATTGTTTATGACTTCAATGTCCCAATTTCACACATATTTCTGCTGAGCCCCTTTGTTTGCTAATATGTCTCCTGGGTGGTAAGCAGGACTCCGTGTCTTATTAATATTTTCCGTCTCCAGAATTCAGCCACTGTCTGCCACACTAGTGCATAATGAGTTACTATACTAATATTATGCAGCCATGTCCCCTGTACAGCAGTTCCCTGGATCTCATGGCTTCTTTTTTGATTTGCCTTGTTTGTTACCAACTTCCATCAGTAAGACAATCTATCCAATCCTTGTCCCCTTTGCCACATCACATCCTCAGGGCAATAACAAGCTTGTTAAGTTTATGCACCTTCTCCACTTGGAGCAAGGCCTCACCATGTCAGGCCTCCCCCTGATTCTCCTCCCTGCCTGGGATGGCAGATTTTGCTCTAGTGGGTCTCCAGGCCGTGAGGTCTCCTGTCTTTTATGTTCTGATACGGGTGGTGAGCTGCAGCTGTAGTCCTTACTTGTCTCTGCTGGCCTTTAGAGACTTTGTACTCAATTTGGAGGAACTACTCTTGATGGATTGTAAGTGAGAGGATTTCCTGGTCTCCCTCTGGAGTCCACCAGAAAACCACATTCTCTGCTTTTCAGCGTTGACTGCTCATGCTTACGTAATTTCTAAGAGTAAGATCCTATGGACTGTCCTGGCAGCAAAGAATTCGCTCAGGATTTTGCCTGAAGCTGCACTTCCGGGGTCTCGCTTCATCAGAAGACTTCTTCATTTTCATCATCGGCCCAGCGATGCGTGGGTACCTCTTAGGGTTTAGCCCCAGAATGTACTGGGGGAGGGGAGGGTAAAGTAGGTGGGGAAGGAGTCAGAGTCGTAGGTCATCTGTGGCTGGAGTTTTGCATCCCTAATAAACGGGAAATGAACTGAAGGAAGACTGGGTTTTCACGTCAACACGAAGGACACCATTACGATGCTAGACTAATCATCAAATAAAATTCCAGATGGAAAAAATTCAGAAACTTAATTTGGAATTTGAGCCCCGCTCTATTATGCAACGTTCCCAGCCATTGCTCCGCGGATGTAATGTGGACTTCCACCGCCAGATGGCGATCGAGACCGTAATTTAAGTTGGTTTTCTCAACTTCCTCTGGACTGAGTCCCCGTGAAAATCCCAAGTTTAACGAGGGGCTTTCCTCGCGTAACCTTCGCTTCTGCTTCCTCTCTCACATCACCTCAACCTGCGAGACTCTGAAAGGGATAATGAGGGTTGGGGGGAATATGGAAATTCAGGGAAGGGAGAGGGGGGTGGTGTGAAGCTTTCCAGACCAGCCACACAGAAATAGCATACCAATAGTGGTTTAGAGCACAGACCCCCAGCCAGAATGAGTAATTTAAACAGCCCTACGATGTAATCGTTGTGTGCATATGCATCTCTATGCCTCTCTCTCTCTCTGTCTTTCTTTCATCTGAGACAGGGTCTCACTCCCTCTGTCCCACAGGCTGGAGTGCAGTGGTGCAATAATGGCTCGCTGCAGTCTTGACCTCCTGGGCTCCAGTGGTCTTCCCACCTCAGCCTCTGAAACCACAGGGTCTTGAACTTCTGGGCTCAAGTGATCTTCCTGCCTCGGCCTCCTAAAGTGCTGGGGTTACAGGTGTCGGCCACCATGCCTGTCTGCTATTTAAGTGCATAGAAGAATGCCTGGCACTCAGTTAGTGTTAAATATTTATAAAATAAATTAAAATTTTATGACACTACACACATGTTGTTGAGTATGTCATAAATAGAGACATATTTAATGAGATGTCAACATATATCACGTTAATGAATTAAGTAAGTTTGAGAATATTAGAGAAGAATGATAATAGATTAACGGAGGAGGCTGGGCGCAGTGGCCCACACGTGTATTCCAGCACTTTGGGAAGCCGAGGCAGGCAGATCACATGAGGTCAGGAGTTCGAGACCAGCCTGGCCAACATGGTGAAACTCCTTCTCTACTAAAAATACAAAAAAAAAATTAGCCGGGTGTGGTGGTGTGCGACTGTAATCCCTGCTAATGGGGAGGCGGAGGTTGCAGTGAGAGGAGATCGCGCCACTGCACTGCAGCCTGGGCGACAAAGCAAGACTCCATCTCAAAACAAACAAACAAACAAACAAAAAACAGACGAAGTAGGGTTTGAGTATGTAGTCTGCTCTCAACATGAGATAGTAAAGTCTTTGCTTCCCTTATATTCTGCTAATTAACTCATTTGATGCACATCGATGTATAAAGCCTTTAACTTCTATTTATTCTTTTCCTTGAAAAGCATGCGGAATGCCTTCTCAGGACTCTCCCATTTTTTATTTGTGAACACCCACTGGCATTCCCGGATACGAAGCTTGCAAGAAGGTGTGAACCGCCCTATACTCGTGAGCCCCTGGGGCTCTGTACTCTTTCCAGCCCACATTTGACCTCAGTCAATTTTTAAATGATTCCAGCTAAATTCTTCTTACCAGTGCCCAGCTGTACCTGCCTTAGGTAAGCAAGCACTCAGGCGACAACTCTCCTAGATTTCAAGCTAGTTGGAAGCTCAATCCCAGCTCTGTGATGGGTTGAAAAAAATTGCGACCTTGCAATTTGTGTGATTTCTTTCATGTTGCAAGGAAGCATCATTGTTTCCAGTTCTCTGCATCCCCAAGCAGAAACCAGAACTCTATATAAACGTTTTTAAATGGAGACATTGAGAAAAAGTACCCGAGAAACCAATGAGATACAGGAAGAATGCTTCCAGCACTAACATGAATGGGGCTTGGCCATACAGATAGAAGGGTTGGAAACTCTTACGCCTTGATTTAAACTCTCTATGCATATTCTGAGCACGCTGGGGAATGTACTACTACTAGGCTTGATTTGGATTCATGGCTACTACCTCCCACAAAATGATAGGTCTTCTGTTTTAGTACGTGAAATAATTCCTCAATCGATCTTATTGCTGCTATTTCTGTTAAGCATAAACAATGATTTGGGTCACAAATTTTAATGGGGTTTAAATTCCTTTGTGCATCCCAACAGGTAATCCTCTTACTCTGGGCTATGAACTTGCTACTGCCAAGATGGATGCCATGAAAAAAAGAGATCTCATCAAAATGGTCAGAGAGATGGAGGGCCTCTGTGTAGATGGCAGGGTGGTGGTGGCCGTGTAACTAGCTGCCCGGTGAGGAGCAGCCCTTGGGGAGAGCCCAGGTAGGACCAGGAGAAGCAGAAATAGAGAAAAGTGAAAGATTGAGGTGGAAAGAACATGAGGGACAAGAGCTCTGCATGGCCACATCACCAGCAGTCTTGTTATTACAATGAGGATGAAGGGACTGAAAAGAGGGGAAGAGATGGAATTCATCAAACAACAGTGCTCATTCATACAAGGCAAGTATACATGTAGCCTTTTCTCTCTCTATCTGAAGACGTGGCTTACTGTAACAGGAACTATCATGGGCATTGGACGGCTGTCTCATGGTGATCCCATCCTCCTCTACATCCTAAACTTTTTTTTGAATGCATTTCTGTATTTTGACTTCCTCTCTCCCCAAAGTTCTTCTTAACTTCTGAGTATGACTTAGCTTCCTTATTCTTTGAAATATTTGAAACCCCTAACTTCCTCTCCTCTGTGGTGTAACTCACATGGCTTCTTGATACCAGGAGGCACTGTCTGCATACAACCTCATATTATGAGGATGAAATGCCCATGAATCCTACCAATCTGAGGAACAACGCGTTTGTCTTCTCTGACAAAATACGGGTGCCACATATTCTGTAGGAAAAGGTGGTGTTGAGGTCAGAACTTCTCTGTTTCTCCGTCTCTCTCTCTCTGGTTCTGGAAATGTTGAGAATATGAGTGAAGGGAAAAAGATGGGCACCACGTGGAGGCAATTTCATGGTGGCATGAAACAATTTTGGGGGCATGAATGCCATGGGCAGGACATCAGGGCCCCAAAAGGGAAATACACAGTACTTTCTTTGGACTTCAGTGCTCTCTTTTATAGTAATGGAAACCACAAGCGCAGAGGAAGGGGAGCTGATTCTATAAAAAGAAGTTTATTTCCTACTTTAAAAGATGATTTTTTGACTATCTTCCCACAATAGAGCCAGAGGATCACAGGGGAAAGCTACGATCCTCAATTATAGAAAATGATGTTGGGTGCATCTAGCATCACAGAAGCTTTAGAGGACACAGTCATCTCAGGTACCTACAGATGAGGAAGAAGTACCAATGAGAGTACCTACTCGTATTCTTATTCATGGAAGTGAATCCCTTCAGGAACCAAATCATTTAGCTGCTGGTAGATGTTTCTTTTGGCTCCTCTCTCTCCTGAGCTCTCAAACACAGACTTTTTTTTCTGTGTGCCTCTGCTTTTGGCAACTCTGTTCCAAGAATAAGAATATTTGTTTGTAGATGAGCTTGCTAGGTCGGGGATCTCTTGTATAGGGAGATGGTGAATCACTGAGCAGGACACAGAGGCATGAGTTGAAACAGTGAGATGTACCTTAGTTTAAAGAGAGGTCACAAGAGCTCACAGACCATTATTAGATAAACTCTAAATTAGAAAAAAGAACCATATTTCTCTTTTGATAGTCACATAAAAATTGAAGCCATACTCATTCTAATAAAAAGTAACATGCATAGCTCTTCATTGCAAAGCTCATCTATTATTCATAACAGGCATATAGAGTCTATATCATTTTTACAGAAGTGGAAATAGCATGCAATTACTAATTTAGTTTATTCATTAGTTTTCCAAAAGTGAAATAAAGAATTTTCCCTTTGACTTCCTACCTGGTAATTTGAAAGAGATAAATTTGTGACTAAAAAGAGTACTTCACATCATACACAAATAATTAATGCAACTGATTGACCCAAGCTAGTGTGTGTGATATTGTGATATAATAGGAAGTATATATTTGGTTTCTGACCCTGGTTCCTGCCCTTCAGCTCCTAAAACTCTTGGAATCTCCAGAGTGATAAGAGTGTCTTTTGCATGCTAATGAGGTGACTGGTGGCTGGGGCTGGTCACCAGAAAGACCAAGGCAGGATTAGAGGGTTGGGATTTTCAGCCCATTCACAATCTCTGGGGAGAAGGGAGGGGCTGAAGGTTGAGTTGACTGCCAATGGCCAATGGTTTAATCAACTCACCATGCTGACATAACAAAGCCTCCATTAAAACCCAAAAGGGCAGAGTTTGGAGAGTTTCCAGATAGCAGAACACGGAAAGATGCCTGGAGGATAGGCTCTTGAAGAAGGTGTGGAAGCTCCGCACTCTTTCCCCCATACTTTGTCCTATGTGTTTTGTTTTTCTTTATCAATCTGTTAGTCTGTATCCTTTGTCTTATCCTATGTAATAAACCAGTGTATGTAAGTAAGTGTTTCCCTGAATTCTTTGGGCTGCTCTAGCAAATTAATTGAACCTGAGGAAAGGTTTGTGGGAACCTCCAATCTATAATTGGATGGTCAGAAGTACAGGTGATAGCAACTGGCATCTGAAGTGGGAGGGGGGCAGTTTTGCATGACTGATCCCTCAATCTGTGGGATCTGATGCTATTTTTAGGTAAATAGTATCAGAATTGAATTGATTTAGAGGAACCAGGTGTCTGCTGGAGAATTGCTTGGTGTGGGGGAAAAATCTCCACATACCTGATGTCAGAAGTAACTGTGTAAGACAGAAGGAAAAATGCTTTGGAGTTTTTTGTTTTTTCCCCCCATCTCTATTTATATAGGTTAAAAATGTGGCTGGGTGCATGCCCATGATCTGAGCACTTTGGAAGGCCCAGGCGGGAGGATCACTAGAGGTCAGGAGTTCAAGACCAGCCTAGGCAACACAGTGAGACCCCCCGCATCTCTAAAAAACAAACAGAGACAAATACATAAATAAATCAGTACAAGTACAAGCCTCATAATCCATTATGAAAGTGTCAGAGTGATGAATGCCATGGGCATAGTAACAGTTAATAAAGAAAATAATGTGTTGGAGGAATATTTAAGATAACTGAGGCTGCTACAAGCAAAACTACAGAATAATTTCATCATATACATTTTTTTTTGTTTCCAAATTAGATACAAGATTAAGCCTTGGGTCTCCCTGGCAGTGGAGGGCGATTCTGATATTCACATATAACTACCCACAGGGCATGGATTCTGAGAGATGCTGATAAAAGAAGTTGGTGTCTTCTTGGCATTTGTCCCCAAGGATCTTCCAATACCCAGAGAATCTGCATTTACACAGATCATGCTCCCTTGGGAGCTTCTCTTGACTGCCCCCCACACCCTCATTCGTGGCTTTTCCTCTTTGATCTCCCACTTCAGTCCTCACACCTGTCAACACTGTGCTTATTACCATGTGGAGTGGTTAGAAGATCTTCCCAGAGTCAAGACATTTCCAGGGTCACCCTTCTCTTAGGCATTTCTTGGCACGACTGTCCTGAATAAAGGAAAGGAGATGAAGGTGATGTTGAGAAGCATCTAGAGGGCTGGAGTCAGGGGGAACCGGCTGAGGCTGTTGGATCAAGTTTTAGCCACTGGTAAAAGACCTCCAAGCTGCGAATGCTATTGCCATCTGTGTAAAGTCGCCTCCGAGATTAGAATATGCCAAAGACTGAAGAAAGAGGTCTAGGTAGCATAAAGCCATCATGTAATTGAAGTTTCTTCCGTTTCCAAGGACAGGAAGCGTGCAAATGGCTCTGCGTTCTCAGTAGGGTTGGGGCTAAGAAGTGAGCCTGCAAATGGTAGTTTGGGTGAAGACTTGTGTGATGCATGCAGAGACTCAAATTTAGTGTCCTCTGAACACAAACACCCTCTATGATCCGGGTTAGGTATCGCTCCTGTGAACGTTCAAAGAACACCTTTATATTCTGAGGGGACACCGTTCATCATCAGATCACTGTTGACGGAAGCCAGGTGACAGCTTTGTATTTCGTGTTTTCCCCTTTAGTAATGTAAAAATAGAAGTTATTTCTCCTTTCTTCCAATGTAGGATTTTTTTTTTTTTGAGAGGGTCTCTGTCACCCAGGCTGGAGTGCAGTGACACAAACACAGCTCACTACATCCTTGACCTCTTGGGTTCAGATGATCCTCCCGCCTCAGCCTCCTTAGTAGCTGGGACGACAGGCACATTCCACCGGCCCGGCTAATTTCTTTTTAAAGTTTTTGTAGAGATAGGGCTCTCACTATGTTGCCCAGACTGGTCTTGAACTCCTGAGCTCAAGCGATTCTCTCACCTTGGCCTCCCAGAGTGTTGGGATTACAAGCGCGAGCCACCACACCCAGCCCAGTGTAGGAATGTTTAATTCCTCCACTTGCTATCAAAGAAAACTGCTAACTTTCTTATTTCCTAATTTCTCTTTTTCTATTTGCTTCTCCTTAGGTTCAGCTCTTGGGTGCTATCTCCTTAGTTTTGAGAATATGAAGGTTTGTTTAGAAAAAAAAAAGCAGAAAAAATTCACTGGAAGATTTCACATTTGTATGTATCTTTATGAAATGTGACAGTGAAGTGTTAGGGTAGAGATATTTGATCTGATTACCATTAGGATAAAATCAAATCTCCTTACCATGTCTTACATGTGTACTTGTCCAATCTTGTCTCCTATAATTGTCCAACCAACCCGTTCTGTTCCAGCCTCACTGGCCTTCTTATTCTTTCATGAAGCTCACACTGTCCTCCAGAGCCTTGCACTCTCTTTTGCCTGGAATGCTCTCCCAGATCTTAACATGATAGGAAAACAAAAGACAACTGTTTGTCATGTCTACTACAGTCTCAGCCCCATGAGTCAGAGTCCATGCCCATTTTCCTTCCATGCAACATTCCTGGCACCTAGATAGTGACTGATGCATAATGGCTGGTAAAATATTTGATTAAAAAATATTTTAGTGTATTTCCTCCCCCAAAATATACATACACAACAGAGGCAGTTATTTTGTCTATATCTTTAGCACATTTTAGGCATTTAGTAAATTTCTGTTGAATCCATATGGAATTCTTCAGATTGATCTGTGAACACTTTAGATTTGAAAAAGGAGAAAATCATAAAACTAAGGGTAATGGGGAGAGAGCAAAACCAAAGGCATACATGGGAAGATTCTCCTTATACAAAATACTTCTTCCATGTCTATAATGAACCCCCAAATTATCTGGATACTTACAACAGTGGTAGCAAGGGAATGTCTCGTTAATGCAGGTTCTCTATTCTCCTCAATTAATTTCAGGTCCTTAATTGTGCATGACATATGAAACATAAAGGGTGTTTATTTGCTAATCACCAGCATTAATTAATTCAAAGACTTACCTGAGATTCTGTTTGTGCAATAAAAATTAAAAAGATTACTCAGTAATACATTGGGAGAGGTGTAACTGGGGCATTAAAATACGAATGTGTGTCTAATTTTCAAACATCATAAGTATTTTGAAAGCACTTATACATAATCAATTAATATATGTTGTTAAATAAATTCATATGAATAATATGTGATATAAATTAGTGTTTTGTATTAATTTCAAGACAATTATAAAGAGAATGTCACCATCACTCTTTTGATTCAATCAACAGTCCTTAGACTGGTTCCTTGTAATGAATTTAATGGGTTAATAAAAGCTGTGTTATTTGAAATTATGTAATTTTGTTTTTTTAATATTTTGCTCAAACACTTTTCTTATTAGTGTAAATGACTGAAGTATTATGTAAATTTTAATACTGATTATCTAAGGTATATCATTAAAACAAATTATGAGCTGTGATCTTGGACAAGGTACTCAAACTGAAAGATGTTTTCCTTATCTGAAAATTTAGATAATAATAATTACCTCATAGTCTGTTAAGAAAAGCACATGTGATAATATATTTTAATGTACAATATGTCTGGCACATATTAAGGTCTAAAAAAGATAACTGTTACTGTTATACCAATAAGTATAATAATTTTGATAAATATAATAGTAGTTTAAATATATTTTTTCCAACTTTTATTTTAAGTTCAGGGGTACATGTGCAGGATGTGCAGGTTTGTTACATAGGTAAATGTGTGCCATGGTGGTTTGCTACACAGATCATCCCATCACCTAGTTATTAAGCCCAGCATCCGTTAGCTATTCTTCCTGATGCTCTCCCTCCTCCCATCCCCTACTTCCGACAGGCCCCAGTGTGTGTTGTTCCCCTCCATGTGTCCATGTGTTCTCATCATTCATCTCCCACCTATAATGAGAACTATGAACTCATCATTCAGCTCCCACCTATAAATGAGAACATAAGATATTTGGTTTTCTGTTCCTGTGTTAATTTGCTAAGGATAATGGCCTCCAGCTCCATCCATGTGCCTGCAAAGAACATGATCTTATTCCTTTTCATGGCTACATAATGCACCACATTTTCTTTATTTAGTCTACCATTGATGAGCATTTGGGTTGATTCCATGTCTTTGCTATTGTGAATAGTGCTGCAATGAACATATGCATGCATATGTCTTTTATAATAGAGTAAATTATATTCTTTTGGTTATATACCCAGTAATGAGATTGCTGGGTCAAACAGTATTTCTGTCTCTAGGTCTCTGAGGAATTGCCACACTGTCTTCCACAATGGTTGAACTAGTTTACACTCCCACCAACACAACCTCTCCAGCATCTGTTGTTTTTTCACTTTTTAATGATAACCATTCTTATTGGTGTGAGATGGTATCTCATTGCGGTTTTGGTTTGCATTTCTCTAATGATCAGTGATATTGAGCTTTTTTTCATATGTTTCATGGCCACATGTATGTTTTCTTTTGAGAAGTATGTGTTCATGTCCTTTGCCCATTTTTTAATGGTTTTTTTCTTGTAAATTTAAGTTCCTTATAGATGCTGAATTGTAGATCTTTGTCAGACGCATAGATTGAAAAATTTTCTCCCATTCTGTGGGTTGTCTTTTTACTGTGTTGGTAGTTTCTTTTGCTGTGTAGAAGCTCTTTACTTTAATTAGATCCCATTTGTCAATTTTTGCTTTTGTTGCAATTGTTTTGGCTTCTTCATCATGAAGTCTTTGCCCATGCCTATGTCCTGAATGGTATTGCCTAGGTTTTCTTCTAGGGTCTTTATAGTTTTGGGTTTTACATTTAAGTGTTTAATCCATCTTGAGTTGATTTTTGTATATGGTGTAAGGAAGAGGTCCAGTTTCAATCTTCTGCATATGGCTAGCCAGTTCTCCCAGCACCATTTATTAAAGAGGGAATCCTTTCCCCATTGCTTGTTTTTGTCAGATTTGTTGAATATCAGATGCTAGTAGGTGTGTGGTCTTATTTCTGGGTTCTGTATTCTGTTCCATTGGTCTATATGTCTGTTCTTGTACCAGTACCATGCTGTTTTAGTTACTGTAGCCCTGTAGTATAGTTTGAAGTTGGGTAATGTGATGCCTTCAGCTTTGTTCTTTTTGCTTAGGATTGCCTTGGCTCTTCGAGCTCTTTTTTTGGTTCCATGTGAATTTTAAAATAGTTTTTAAAAAATTCTTTGAAGAATGTCAATGGTAGTTTAATAAGAATAGCATTAAATCTATAAATTGCTTTGGGTAGTATGGCCATTTTCATGATATTGATTCTTCCTATCCATGAGTATGGAATGTTTTTCACTTTGTTTGTGTCATCTCTGATTTCTTTGAAGAGTGATTTGCAGTTTTCCTTGAAGAGGTTCTTCACTTACCTTGTTAGCTATATTCCTAGGTATTTTATTCTATTTGTGGCAATTGTGAATGGGAGATCATTTGTGGGTAATTTAAATTTTTAGAATCAAATATTTTATCACTCATTATGCATTATTCTTCTCTGGGATAGATAGAGATTTCCCAGAACTCCGATAACCTTTATTTTAACCTATTTACCTCTGATTAATCTGTTTCACCTCCCGGTTGTTACTGTAGTAACTGGGGTTATTAATAGCCTCAGAGCTACCAAGACTTCTCTGTAAAACTGATTATCTTTTTCAGGATAGCATCCTCTAAATGGTTATGCAAGATTTATGGTTAAGAATGGAAGTAGCTGATTAAATAATTCGATGAGCTTTACTCAACTATCTACTTTTCACAGCCTCTATTTTGTCCCCTGTGGAAGCACATAACAGGGCTTAGCTTTGGTGTTGTAGCTCTCTGTCAGAATATGCAATTAGTAGGTCTCATATATAAAATTTCATTTCATCTTAATATTAATCCCACCAAATGGAAGCTATCTAAACTTTAAAGTTAAAATGACTGAGGCTAACAGAGAATATGTGATTTGTTGAGGGTCACAAACTTAACGAATTCTCCAACTGCGGGACAAATGCATTTTTCTCAAAATCTGTTACCTTTTATATTATATCCCAGTGTCTCATAGTGCCAAGACAAGGAAAAAATGAACAATTCTTAGACAATTATCTTCTTTTCCAGGGAATATCTTTCCATTTTCTTTTTCCCATCCCTCTCCTACCCTCCCCCAGCTACAGTCAAACCTCAAATATAAGAACCAGAGAATTTAAATAAATGTCACAAGAAGAAACATCCTGAATCGTGTTCTTCTTCTGGTTCCTGAAACTTC